>NW_003315915.1:188093-376187 GCF_000001405.40 Homo sapiens
AAATCTCATGTAGAAAAGTAATTACCAATGTTAGAGGTGGGGCCTGATGGGAAGTGGTTGGATCAAGGTGGTGAATACCTCAAGAATGGTTTGACACCATTCCCTTGGAGATAAGTGAGTTCTCACACAGCTAGTTCACACAAAATCTGGTGGTTTAAAAGTCTGGGACCTCCCGACCATCACCCCGTTGCTCCTGCCCTCGCCATGTGATGTGCCTTCTCTTGCTTCACTTCTGCTATGATTGTTAATCTCCCTGAGGTCCTCACCAGGAGCAGATGTCAATATCATGCTTCCTGTACAGCCTACAGAACCATGAGCCCATTAAACCTCTTTTCTTTATAAATTACCCAGTCCCAGATACTCTTTAATAGTGATGCAAAAACAAACTAATACACCAGCTTACAGGAACACATTGTTTTCCAATAAATGTCCTCACTCTAACATTAGGCAACCTGCAAGTCTGGGTGTTCAACTTGCACTGTAATTCAGCCAATCATGAGATGATGTCCTGTGGTTGATTTTCAGCAATTTTAACCCTGTGACAGACTACAAGAGGGAAGGATATCTTTCAAGGCATACTTGGAAGCTCTTAGGTCAAGCCTGTCTAACCCACATACTGCTGCAGCCTGCATGTGGCCCAGGATGGCTTTGAATGCAGCCCAACACAAATTTATAAACTTTCTTAAAACTTTATGAGATTTGTTTTGTGATTTAAGAAATCTCATCAGCAATCATTAGAGTTAGTGAGTGTATTTTATGTGTGGCCCAAGACAATTCTGTTTGCAAAATGGCCCAGGGAAGCCAAGAGATTGGACACCCTTGTGACTTAGGTCATTTATGCCATGCTTGAACTGAGAATTTGAATTCCTGAGCTCATTGATCTTTTACCACTTTGTCCAGCAACATTAAGAGTAACCAAACAATGCCATTGTATTTCTTAGCTTTTAAAAAATACTCAAAAGTAGTATATAAATGTCACTTAGCTTTTTGCTTCTTACAAGTGGTTGATTAGGAGTATTCCATGCAGATGTGGCATAACTCGATAAAAAGGTTCATGCCACGAACTAACTGTACCTTTTTTTCTACTAAAAATAGACTTTTGATTGTCTTTAGACCAAATGAGATTAGAGAGCCAATTCCAGAAACCCTAGACACAATTCAGAAAACTTATTCTTAATTTTTTTTGCCCTAGAACTACTCTGAGTATCAAAATCTGTATTAGGGTTCTTTGTAAAAAGCAAAACCAATAGAATATAGATAGATTATAAATAGGTGGATGGATAGATAGATAGATAGATAAAAAAGGAATTACTCTTAGATTGACTCACACAATTATGAAGGCTGAGAAATTTGTCATTTGCCATCTGCAAGCTGGTGATCTAGTTCAGTTAAACCAAGAGCACAGTTTTCTCTGCTTTCTGTTATATTTGAGCCATCAAGGGATTATATGATGCCCACCCACATTGGTGAGGAAGGTCTTGTTTACTTAGTCTACTCATTCTAATGCTCATCTCTTCTGGAAACACCCTCAAAGACACACTAATACGTAAGTTTTCACTAGCTATCTGGTCACTTCTTAGCCCAGTCAAGTTGACATATAAAATTAAACATCACAGTAAAGGAAAGGTGAATATGCTCTTTGCTTGGGCTGAGGAACCCATCTTCTCATAGCATCAGATATCAGCCATCTTGTTTCTTGGGCATTTGTACTTGGACTGGGGCTTACACCATTGGCTTCCCTGGTTCTCAGGTCTTCAGGTTTGGACTTGAACTACACCACTGGCTTTCCTCAACTTACAGTTTGGAGAAGGAAGATGGTGGAACTTCTCAACCTCCATAATGATGTAAGTCAATCCCTCAATGAATCTCTTTCTGTATTCCTATTAACTCTTTCTGTATTCATATTAACAATATTAATAGGACATATATATAACAATAATAATAACATTAATAAGATATACATGTATATACTGCAATATTAATATTAATATCCTATTAATATTGTTTCTCTGGAGTACCTTGAATAATACACAGAGTGTATTATTGTGCCCTAACTCAGTTAGCTGTCTATTAAAAGAAAAATATTTAATTAATTAATTAATAATTATTTGATTATATAATTCATTGTATAATGAATTATATAATTAATAAAAATATTTAATCAATAAATAATTAAAAAGTATATTATAAACACAATAATAATAGTCTGGAAATCTCCCATGTAGACATATTGGAGGATAGAAGTGGTAGAGATAAATTTCATAATGATATGGTAATTTTTATCAGAATGTTATTGTCCTTTGTCTAGAGTACTCCCAAGGAATTTGGGGATACTCTTAAGGCAGTCTTCCATGTTGCTATGTATGCCAATATTTCCCAATATAGGACAAATGTGAGGTTACCCAAATAGTACCTTGTAGCAAAACAGCAAATAAAACCAAACCAAGTATCAATAGCTAAACTGTAATAATTGCTGTTTTGCTTTATTATCTCTAAATCCAACTCCACGTCAACCTTCTTTTATCTCTGTGTTCTCATCTCTACCCTTATGCACATAGTGTAAATAAGCTTGAGTAACCAAAGTTTTAGTGTGCTCCTGCCAATTTTAATATAAACTCAAGTTCTCAATAACTTGAAAAAATAGACAAATATTTTTATTCATCTTATTGAATTGATTGAATCTTAGAAACAGTGGTTGCTTTATTTTCTGTCAGCTAGTGAGGACAGTTTTCTTTGCAACCTCAAGCCTGTTGTCCATGCAAGTAATAATAATAATAACCGGTCCACATTCTACCAGCTTGGTACTGGTAGAGATGAGATGAGGATGAAAGAAAGATTTCCTTATGGATTCTTTCTTGTGGCCTTTATGGTTAGAAATCCCAGTTTGCAGCTGAGCCAAAAGAACAATAGGTAAATCCATAGTCATTGAACCTTCGATAGTTGGTATAAGAGTGAATAGACAATAGAAAAATATGAATATTATTATTACCATCATAATTACCTAGCTATGTAATCATGAACTTTATCTATAAAACAAAATCTGAGATAATTTCAGGCCTTAGGAGATTCTGTTTCTAGAATGTCAAAAGAAGTTTTATATAAATTTACCTGATGATTTCTCTAATATCTAGGGGACAAAATAAAAATAGATTACATTTTTTCTTCCCATCTTTTTGTCTTGCCATAACAATTGCTCTGCCTCAAGATTGCTGCTAAATATAGTAGAGACATGGCACAGCCAAAAGTGTGTAGTATGAAGTTGGGTCAACTTATCTTTTGGTTTTATTGTCCCTAGATTACGTGGTTAAAAAAACAAAAGAGATCAACATGTTGATTTTTGTCTCACCTCTAGTTTTCAAAGCATGTAATGCCAGGGATCTAAATCTAAATGGAAGAATACGTTTCTGCTATTTGTGTTATTATTCTAACATTTCTACTTCCACATAAAATAGCACATATGCTGCTGTGCTATACTGAAACAATAACAAGAAAAAATGTCCAAAGTCATATCACCCTACCCTACTTCCTTTTATGTTGTCAGCAATTAATTTTAAATTCTCCAGACATATTTAAATCAAACCTCCAAAATAGTCACCATCAATATTCTATCATCATCTGATCTAAGAGCTTTAGAAAGAATGATTCCACCAGCTTCATTACACAAATCCATTTTCTAAAGTATGGAGAGAGAAGTATTTTGCCTGATCAAAAAAAAAATCTAAAAAGAGAGATAGGATAAAACCTCATGGGCCTTGCATTGCTAGTTTATTTCTCAGCTACAATCAATGCTCATAATTCTTCCAATACCATAGCAGCTAAAGATTAGGAGTGGTGGTGTGGCCTTAGGAATCAAGATGAAGTCATTTAAAATGAATCTAAAACCATTCTAGATATATTGAGGTTATCGCATATTACAGAATAGTGTCTTTCCCCAAAATATATTAGACTAAAGGCTTATTTCATATAGTTCAAATTTTATGCATTTCCTTATATGCATTGAGCACATGCAATTAAAAGAATAGCTACAGAAAAAAATAAAGTTGGAACGTTGGTGCTAGAAACATAACTTCAAAAGTCTGAGAAATATAATTACAGAATGACAGGAAAGACATCTCTCACGCAACAAGATTAAGACCAAAATGGAATAAAATTAGAAATCAATACAGATAAAAAAATTTGAAATTATACAAGTACAGGGAAGTTAAACAACACGCCCTTGAATGACCAATGGATTAATAAAGAAGTTAAGAAAGTAATAAAAAAATTTTTGAAACAAATGAAAATAAAAACACAGCATACTACAACCGATAGGATACAGCAAAAGCAGTACTAAGGGGTAAGTTTACAGCAATAAATACCTCCATCAGAAAAGCAGAAATATTTCAAATAAATAACCTAACCCTGCAACTCCAGGAACTCAAAAAGCAAGAGCAAATGAAATGAGGAAGATGGAGCAAGCTGGCTAGATATAACCATCGAGTGACAGTTCCAACCACCAGAAGAACACAAATTGAACAACTATCTATGCAAGAAAACACCTCCATGAGGGCCAAAATATCAGTTCTCTCAAGAAAGATGGATACAAACAAGGCCAGATGGCGAAGACTGGTATAAAATGCCCAGACATTGATGAATGTCCATAAACTTTAAGAATATCCAGTAAAACATGACCTCACCAAACAGACTAAATAAGGCATCAGTGACCAATTCTGGAGTGATAGAGATTTATGACTTCTCAGCTAGGGAATTCAAAATAACTGTCTTGAGGAAGCTCAATAAGCTTCAAGAAAACACAGAGAAAAATTCAGAATTCTATCAGAGAACTTTAATAGAAAGATTGAAATAATTTTTCGGAATCAGGTAAAAAATCTAGAGCTAATAAATTCAATTGACAAACTAAAAAATGGGTTTCAACAGAAAAATTGATCAAGGAGAAGAAAATAAAAGTGAGTGTAAATGCAGGCTTTTTGAAAATACACAGTCAGAAAGGAAAAAATAGAAAAAGAACAATGAAAAACGCCCATGAGATGTAGAATATAACCACAAAAGGGCAAATTTAAGGGATATTATCCTTGAAGAAGATGTAGAGGAAGAAATTGGGGTAGAAGGTTTATTCAAAGAAATAACAGAGAACTTTCCAAACATAAAGTTATGAATATCCAGGTACAAGAAGGTCAAAGAACACTAAGAAGATCCCACCCAAATAAAAACTACCTCAAGACATATTATAAGCTAACTACCAAAAGTCAAGGACAAAGGGAAGATTCTAAAAGCATCAATAAAAAAAGAAGCAACTAACATATAAAGGAGCTATGATACATTTTGCAGCAGACTTCTCAGCAGAAACTTTATAGGCTAGAAGAGAATGGAATGGCATAATCAAAATGTGAAAGGAAAAAAAAAAAACTTTTTAGTAAAATACTGTATCCAGCAAAGCAAGGTTATCTTTCAAGCATGAAGGAGAAATAAAGACTACCTCTAGACAAACAAAAGCTGTGAAAATTCATAAACACTAGACCTGTTTTAAAATTAACGCTAAAGAGAATTCTTCAATTAGAATAAAAAGACGTTAATATACAACAAGAAATCATTTGGTTGTATAAAATGCACTGATAAAAGCCAGTAGAGAGACAATACAGAATACTCTAACACTGTAATTGCAATGGATAAACCAAAGATATCTTTAGTTCAAAGACTAAAAGGCGAACCAATCAAAAACAATAATAACTACAACAATTTGTTGAGAGATAGACAATAAACCAAAATGTAGAGACTACAAAAGGTCCAAAAGTGGGAAGGAATTAAAGTATAGAGTTTTTAGTTTTCTCTCGGCTCTTTTTTTCTAGTTCCTCCTTTTTTTTTTTTTTTATCTCAGCTAAGTTTTATTAGTTTAAAATGACTAGTTAAAATATGTTTTTGTAAGCTTCATTGTAGCCATAAGGCAATGATAATATATACATAAAAATAATAAAAAAGCAAGAAATTAAAACATTCTACCAGAAGAGAGCCTGGAGATCATGGTTGACGAGAGGCAGGACTAACTTGCAGCTCCCACTTGGACGGGCAGAATAACATGTAGAGATTCGCATTGTGAACTTTTGCTCCAGAGTGACTGCAGGAACACATTAGGAAAACCAAGATAACCTGCAGATCCTCTAAAGGAAGCGGATTACTCCTACAGGACCCGGGAGATGCCTGAAATATTGTAAATACCCAAACTTTGAAAGTGAGAAAGGGAGATCTCCACCCCTGAACATACAACCCTAATGGGGAACCTGAAGGTCTAATTACATAAGGAGAAGATTCTGACCTTACCTAGAATTGAGTCAATTTAGAGAGCTGAGCAAAATACGGAGGTAGTGGACGCAACAGGAAAATCCCTGTGGGCTCACTGGGTCCCCTAGCAAACCATTCCTGCCTCACCTCACAGGGTCCTTCAAGAGGGTTGCCGGAGGCACTGGGAAAAGGCCACAGGGAGAAGGAAACCTCCAGCTAAACTTTGTAACAATTTGAACCACTCAAGAAGTCTCCTGGCCAGAACTTGGGAGAGAAAATGAATCCAGTGTGCAGACTCCACAGGTGGGGACAGAAGGAAAGCCCCAGGTGGGTAGCCTGGGAAAAGTTCTCAGCCCTGCTCACCCACTGCCTGGAAACAGTCTGGGTGCTTCTGATGGAGGCATGGTTGGGAATGAGACTGGCCCTTTGGGTTGCATGGGATCTGGGTGAGGCCTGTGACTGCCAGCTTTCCCCCATTTCCCTGACAACCTGCATTACACAGCAGAGACAGCCATAATCCTCCTAGGAACATAACTCCTTTGACCTGGGAACCTCACCCCCATTTCCCACAGCAGCCGCAGGAAGACCCACCCAAGTGGAGTCTGAGCTCAGGCTGCCTAGCCCTGCCCTCACGTAATGGTCGTTCCCTAACCACCCTGGTAACTGAAGACAAAGAGCATATATTCTTGGGAGTTATAGGGCCCTGCCCACCACCTCTTCCTCCCCATACTACCACAGCTGATACTCTTTTGAAAGTGCCACCTCCTAGCAGGAGGCCAACTAGCACAAAAATAGTACACTAATTAACCAAAGCTAAGGACCCTCACATAGTCCCTTTCACCCCCCTGCCACCATCTCCAGAGCAGGTGCTGGTATCCACATTTGAGAGACCTACAGATGGTTCATATCAAAGGACTCTGTGCAGACAGTCCCCAGTACCAACCCGGTGTCTGGTAGACTTGCTGGGTGGCTAGACCCAGAAGAGAGATAACAATCACTACAGCTCAGCTCTCAGGAAGCCACATCCCCAGGAAAAGGGGGAGAGTACTACATCAAGGAAACACCCCATGGGACAAAAGGAACTGAACTACAGCCTTGAGCCCTAGACTGTACCTCTGATAGAACCTATCCAAATGAGAAGGAACCAGAAAACCAACTCTTGTAATATGACAAAACAAGGTTCTTTAAAACCTCCAAAATATCACACTAGCTCACCAGCAATTGATCCAAACCAAGAAGAAATCCCTGATCTACCTGAAAAAGAATTCAGAAGGTTAGTTATTAAGCTAATCAGGGAGGCGCCAGAGAAAGGCAAAGCTCAATGTAAGGAAATAAAAAAAAACAATATGATACAAGAAATGAAGGGAGAAATATTCAATGAAATAATAGCATAAATAAAAAACAATAAAAACTTCAGGAAACAGTAGGCACAGTTACAGAAATGGAAAATGCTCTGGAAAGTCTCAGCAATAGAATCAAACAAGCAGAAGAAAGAACTTCAGAGCATGAAGATAAGGTTTTTGAGTTAACCAAATGCAACAAGGAGAAAGAAAAATGAATAAGAAAATGTGAACAAAGCCTCCAAGAAGTCTGGGATTATGTTAAATGACCAAACCTAAGAATAATCTGCATTCTAAGGAAGAAGAGAAATCTAAAAGTGTGGAAAATATATTTGAGGGAATAATTGAGGAAACCTTTTCCAGCCTTGCTAGAGAAGTAGTCATCCAAATACAAGAAGCTCAAAGAACACCTGGAAAATTCGTCACAAAAGGATTGTCACCTAGGCACATTGTTGTCAGGTTTTCTAAAGTTAAGATGAAGGAATCTTAACAGCTGTGAGGCAAAAGCACCAAGTAACTTGTAAAGGAAATCCTACCTGATTAATAACAGATTTCTCAGCAGAAACCCCACAAGCTAGAAGAGGCTGGGGCTCAATCTTCAGCCTCCTCAAACAAAACAATTATCAGCCAAGAATTTTGTTTCCCGTAAAATAAGTATCATATATGAGGACACATACACCTTTTTCAGACAAACAAATGCTGGGAGAATTTGCCACTACCAAGCCAGCACTACAAGGACTCCTAAAAGCTCTAAATCTTGAAACAAATCCTGGAAACACACCAAAAGACAACCTCTTTCAAGCATAAATCTCACAGAACATATAAAAGAAAAATACAATTTAAAAAACAAACAAAAAAACAAGGTATACAGGCAAAAACAGCATGATGAATAAATTGCTACCTCACATCTCAATACTAATGTTGAATGTAAATGGCCTAAATGGTCCACTTAAAAGATACAGAATTGCAGAATGGATAAGAATTTACCAACCAATTATCTGCTGCTTTCAAGAGACACACCTAATACATAATGACTCAAATACACTTAAAAGGCAAAGTGATGGAAAAAGAAATTCCATGCAAATGGACAACAAAAGTGAGCAGGAGTAGCTATTCTTATATCAGACAAAACAAACTTTAAAGCAACAGCAGTTAAAAAAGACAAAGAGGGCCATTATATAATGGTAAAAGGCCCTGTCCAACAGGAAAATATCACAATTCTAAATAGATATGCATCTAACTCTGGAGCTCCAAAATTTATAAAACAATTACTAATGGACCTAAGAAATGAGATAGACAGCAACATAAAAATAGTGGGGAATATCAATACTTCACCGACAGCACTAAACATGTCATCAAGACAGAAAGTCAAAACAGAAAGAATGGATTTAAATTATGCCCTGGAACAAATGGACTTGACAGATATTTTCAGAATATTCTACCCAAAAACCACAGAATATGCATTCCATTCAACAGCACATGTAACTGTCTTCAAGATAGTCCATATGATAGTTCACAAATCAAGTCTCAATAAATTCAAGAAAATTGAAATTCTATCAGGCACTCTCTCAAACCACAGTGGGATAAAACTGGAAATCAACTCCAAAAAGAACCTTCAGAACCATGCAAATACATAGAAATTAAATAACCTGCTCTTGAATAATCATTGCATCAAAAATGAAATCAAAATGGAAATTTAAAAATTATTCAAACTGAAAGACAATAGTGACACAACCTATCAAAATTTCTGGCATACAGCAAAGGCAGTGCTAAGAGGAAATTTCATAGACCTAAACACCTATATCAAAAAGATGGAAAGAGCACAAACAGATAATCTAAGGTCAAACCTCAAGGAACTAAAGAAACAAGAACAAACAAAACCCAAAGTCAACAGGAGGAAGGAAATAAGCATGATCAGAGCAAAACTAAATGGAATTGGGAAAAAAAATATAAAAGATATGGAAAAAACCTGGTTCTTTGAAAAGATGAATAAAATTGATAGACCATTAGCAAGATTAACCAAGAAAAAAAAAAAGAGAAAATACAAATAAGCTCAATTAGAAACTTAATGGTAGATATTACAACTGACACCACAGAAATACAAAAGATCATTCAAGGCTACTATGAACAGGTTTATGCACATAAACTAGAAAACCTAGAAGAGATGGATAAATTCCTGGAAGGATACAACCTTCCTTAACTTAAATCAGGAAGAATTAGATACTCTGAACAGACCAATAACAAGCAGTGACATTGAAATGGTAATAAAAAAATTACCAACAAATAAAAGTCAAGGACCAGTTGGATTCACAGCGGAATTCTACCAGAAATTCAAAGAAGTATTGGTACCAACTCTATTGACACTATTCCACAAGATAGAGAAAGAGGGAACCCTCCTTAAATCATTCTATGAAGCCAGTATTATCCAATACAAAAACCAGGAAAGGACATAACCAAAAAAGAAAACTATAGACCAATATCTCTGATGAATATAGATGCTAAAATTGTTAACAAAATTCTAGCTAACCAAATCCAACAACATATCCAAAGGTAAGCCACCATGATCAAGTGGGTTTCATACCAGGGATGCAGGGATAGTTTAACATACACAAGTCAATTAATGTGATACATCACATACACAGAATCAAAAACAAAAATCACATGATCATCTCAATAGATGCAGAAAAAGCACCTTACAAAATCCAGCATCCCCTTATGATTAAAACTCTCAGCAAAATTAGCATACAAGGGACATAAATCAATGTAATGTAAGTCATCTTAGACAAGCCCACAGCCAACATAATACTGCATGGGGAAAAGTTAAAAGCATTCTCTCTAAAAACTGGAACAAGACAAAGATGCCCACTCTTACCTCTCCTCCAAATTGGTAAGGAGAAAGTCAAACTGTCACTGTTTGCTGAAGATATGATTGTTTACCTAGAAAACCCTAAAGACTCCTCCAGAAAGCTCTAGAACTGATAAAAGAATTCAGCAAATTTTCCGGGCACAAAATTAATGTACACAAATCAGTAGCTCTTCTACACAACAACAGCGACCAGGTTGAGAATCAAGTGGAGAACTCAACTCCTTTTACAACAGCTGAAAAAAAATAAAACTATTTAGGAATGTAACTAACCAAGGAGGTGGAAGACCTCTATAAGGAAAACTACAAAACACTGCAGAAAGAAATCACAGATGACACGAATGAATGGAAACACATCCCATACTCATGGACAGGTAGAAACAATATTGTGAAAATGACCATACTGCCAAAAACAACTTACGAATTCAATGCAATTCCCATCAAAATACCACCATCATTTTACACAGAATTAGTAAAAAGCATTCTAAAGTTTATATAGAACAACAACAACAACATCAAAAAGCCCACATAGCTAAAGCAAGACTAACTAAAAGGAACAAATCTGTAGGCATCACATTACCTGATTTCAAACTATACTATAAGGCCATAGTCACCAAAACAGCATGGCACTGGCATAAAAACAGGCACATAGACCAATGGAACAGAATAAAGAAGCCAGAAATAAACCCAAATACTTACAACCAACTGATCTTTGACAAAGAAAACAAAAACATAAAGTGGGGAAAGGAAAACTCATTCAACAAATGGTGGTGGGATAATTGGCAAGCCACATGTAGGAGAATGAAACTGGATCCTCATCTCTCACTTTATACAAAATCAACTCAAAATGGGTCAAGTACTTAAATCTAAGACCCAAAACTATAAAAATTGTAGAAGATAACATTGGAAATCCTCTTCTAGATATTGGCTTAGGCAAGGATTTCATGACCAAGAACCCAAAAGCAAATGCGATAAAAGCAAAGATAAATAGCTGAGACTTAATTAAACTAACGTGCTTTTGTACAGCAAAAGGAGCAGTCAGCAGAGTAAATAGGCAACCCACAGAGTGGGAGAAAATCTTCACAATCTGTACATCTGAAAAAGGACTAATCCAGAATCTGCAACAAACTCAAACAAATCAGCAAGAAAAATAAACAAACAATCCCGTCAAAAAGTGGGCTAAGAACACGAATGGACAATTCTCAAAAGAAGAAACACAAATGACCAACAAACATGAAAAAATACTTAACATCACTAATCATCAGGGAAATGCAAATCAAAACCACAATGCGATACTAAGTACTAATGAAATTATTCATAGAAATAGGAAAATTTCTACAATTTGTAGAAAACCACAAAAGAATCCAAATATCCAAAGCAATACTAAGAAAAAAGAATATAACTGGAGACATCAAACTATCTCACTTCAAAATATACTATTAGATTAGTGCAAAAGTAATTGCATTTTTTGCCATTAAAAGTAATAATAAAAACCACAGTTACCTTTGCACCAACCTAATAAAAAGCTACAGTAAACAAAACAGCATATTGTTATAAAAACATACCCATAGACCAATGGAGTAGAATTGATAACATAGAAATAAATCCACTTATTTATAGCCAACTGATTTTTGATAAAGACATCAAAAACATACTTTGTGGAAAGGACAGCCTCTTAAATAAATGGTTTTGTGAAAACTGGATATCTATATGCAGAAGAATAAAACTAGACTTCTCTCTCTCACCATATAAAAATAAAAACCCAAATGGACTTACAGGCTTAAAGATAAAACCCAAAACTATAAAACTACTAGAATAAAACATAGGGGAAATATTTCAGGACATTGGTCTAGGCAAAGATTTTATGTTAGACTAAAAGTATATACAACAAAAGCAAAAATAGACAAATTGGACTATATAAAAATAAAAAGCCTCTGCACAGCAAGGGACCTATCAACAGAATAAAGAGCAACCCATAGAATGGAAAAATATTTGCAAATTATTTGTCCAACATGGGACTAACATTCAGAATGGACGAGAAACCCAAACAATTTAATAGTGAAAAAGCAACAACAAAACAAATCTGTTTAAAAAACAGGCCAAGAATTGGAGTAGACATTTCTCAAAAGAAGACATACAAATAACAGACAAATGTATGAAAACATGCTCAACATCACTAATTATCAGAGAAATGTAAATCAAAACCACAATGAGATATGATATCACTCTAGTTAGAATAGTTGTTAACAAAAATAACAAATGCTGGCAAGGATGCAGAGAAAAGGGAAATCTTACACACTGTTGCTGTGAATGTAAATTAGTAGAGCTATAATGGAAATAATGTAAAGATTCCTCAAAACCTAAAACTAGAGCTATCATGTGATCCAGCAATTTTACTTCCCGGTATATATCCAAAGGAAAAGAAATCAGTATATTGAAGAGATATCTGCACCTCTATATTTATTGTAGCATTATTCCCAGTGGTCAAGGTGTGGAATCAGTATAAGTGCCCATCAATGGATAAATGGATAAAGAAAATGTGGAATATTATTCAGGCATGAAAAATAATGAAATCCTATCATTTATGGAAACATGGATGACCCTGGAGGACATTATGTTAAGTGAAATAAGCCAAACAGAGAAAGATAAAATGAATATGGTATTTTTGATAGCTTTGTTTAGAAAAGCAATTTTTGGGGAATATGTTATCACATTTTTAAATTAAACTGGAGTAAAAATGTTTGTAGTTATTCAATATTTCCAATTTTATTAATTTTATTTTTAAAAACAAAAAATAAATAGTACTTTCCTATTACAGTTGAATACTGGAGATGTTGGAAAGAACTAAATCACAAGCTTTAAAAATCATAACATTTTTAGCTTTTTCACAATGTCAAATATACTTTTGAAACTGTGTTTATTTTCATGTAAGTTCATTTTGATATTTTTTGGTAAAGGTCTATCTTGTGATGAACAATGGCAAATAACATTCTTAAAACTTACGAGATTAGAGCAAAGGATGGTTAACAAAAATAAATCAGGAAAATAATATTACCAATAGAGATCTGCGGTAACCTCTGAGAATATGAAGCTTATCCAAATTTTGTACCCAAAAAAGAGATACATGTATTTCAAATAGATAAGAAGTGATGGTGTGGCTGCCACAACAGGAATAAAGACTCATGTAAGCTGTAAACATTCCTGGTTCTGGGTCTTTCTACACTCTAACCCCGTACCTGCCAACAAACAAACAAACCAAAAATCCACACTGAAAGAAGAGTACAAAGAAACATCAAACAGAACAGAATTTCTTCCAGCTCCCTGTGGTAACTACTCTCTCACCATGACCTCCAACAATTTCCTCCCACTGTGTCCATATATACATTTCTCACAGCAACAGGTGGACATTATTTCATCTGCTCTTGAATCTGTGCAGGCCTTATGATTGGTCTTGATAATGAAATGTGTCACAGTATGGGACTTTCCATTGTAGCCTTAAAAGGACTGCCAGTTTTCACTTCATGCCTCTTAGAACTCAGTCATCAATCTGGGAGAAGCTCAAACCACATATAGAGGCCAAGCAGTTAAGGACAGAGGTGTTTCATTTGACAGCCCCAGTTGAGACTCCATCTAACTGTCTGCACCAACAACTAGCTGCGTAAATGAGCCATTTATGGACATTCCAGGAAGCCAAGTTGCTTAGTTTACTATGGCACACAAAATCCTCACAGAATCATGAAAAATAATAAAATTGCTACTCTTTAATCCACTAACTTCTGTATTTGTAAAATATATACAGTAATAGTTAACTGAGAAAATCTTCTAGACCCACCTCCTATCAGAATTCATGAGTTTCAACTCTGAGAATCGTCAATCTTAAAATTTGATTGACCTTCTTTAGTATTCCCACAATCTAACTGAAGACATTTGTGTAGTTAAATAAAAGAAATAGGATGCTATTTGAAAGCCACTGCGCAGGGAACTTGGCAAACAGTGATACATGACAATATTTCTCTCAATATCTTTGTAGTGTTATGGAAAGTCCATTATTGTAAATACAGGATGTTTTATGCATATAATAAATTTGTATCTTGTAGAGAGTGCAGATGTTGAGAGAAGAAAATCTGAAGGGAGTTTTGAAAAACGATAAATGTTACAAAATTAAATAAAATTAAAATTAGCTTTACAAAGAGAAAAAGCCACAGATGTACTTGGTGACCTCCAAGGGGTTCCATATAGGGTCAATTTAAGAGGGAAGCGGTAAGAACGAAAACAGGAGAAGTAAGAATGAACCAGATTTTGAGGGGCATTGTAAACTCAACTAATACATTTAGATCTTTTTATACAGGAATTAGCCATTTTCATGTTTCAAGTAGAGAGTTGTCATATTTGAGCCTGAGGAAAAAATTATTTTGTAAGAGCAATATTATTAAATTGATATATAGCCCTTCCACTTATGTTCATAAGAAAGTATCAGGGTCTGGAACTAGTTTTCTGACATAAATGCCTGGAAAACTTGATAAAGTATGTGGGGAAAAAAAAAAAACATATATACTGGCCATGTGCAGTGGCTCATACCTGTAACCCCAGCATTTTGGGAGGCGAGGTGGGTGGATCACTTGAGGTCAGGAGCTCGAGACCAGCCTGGCCAGCACGGTGAAACCTCATCTCTATTAAAAATACAAAAATTAGCTGAGCATGGTAGAGGGTGCCTGTATTCTCAGCTACTTGGGAGGCTGAGGCAATAGTATTGCTTGAACCAGGGAGGCAGAGGTTGCCGTGAGCTGAGATTGCGCCATTGCACTCCAGCCTGGGCGATATAGAGCAAGAATTAGTCTTTAAAAAAATAAATAAATAAAAATAAAAAATATATATACACACACACACTAAGGGTAAATTTTAAGTTTTCTCACACACCAAAATATTACCAGTATTTGAGGTAATACGTATGATATTTGTTTCATTTAGCCATTCTATAATATACACATGAACTACATCTTCATATTGTACACCATAAATATATAAAATTTGTGTGTGTCAATTTGAAAAAATAGTTAAAAAAGAACAATTTGCAGATATCAGGTAATAAGCAGCACTGGAATAGTATTTTCTAAAATAAGGAGTATACTGAATTGAGCTCTACCATTGCCAAGACTTTCTGCCTGGAGCCAATTTTCAGTACATGATATAGGGAAATAGAACCTGGCATGCTCACTGAATTAAAGAGACAGAAATTTGAGTTCAGGGAAGCTGAATTGACTAGAATTTACAGGGTACAATTCCAGAGAGGAGAGATCCAGGTAGAGAAGGAATTTCATAATTTGCATAGGGTTCTATGTGAGTCTTTGGCTGTACGCCAACCTGCACATGCCTAGGCTAGAAATCCATTTGACTGGACAAATACTTGCAAGAAAAAAGAAAGAAAAGGAAAGAAGTAACCAAAACAACAAAAATGAAAGAAAGGAAGGCAGAAAGGAAGGGAGGGTGGAAAAAAAGAAAGAAGAAAGAAAGGAAAGGAAAGAAGAAAGGTAAAGGGAAAGGAAAAAGGAAAGGGAAAGAAGAAAACCGTAAGACAATTCTCAGAGCATAGGCTTGGCTTAGAAACAGACATACAGACCAATGGAACAGAATAGAGAACCCAGAAACAAATCCACACACCTACAGTGAAGTCATTTTTATATAAAAATGCCAAAAATATACACTGGGGAAAAGATAATCTCTTCGATAAATGGTGCTGGGAAAACTATATCCATATAAGGAAGAATGAAAGTAGACCCCTATCTCTGGTCATATACAAAAATAAAATCAAAATGGATTAAAGATTTAAATCGAAGTCCCCAAACCATGAAACTCCTATAAGAAAACTTTGAAGAAAATTTCCAGGACATTGGTCTGGGAAAAAATACCCCACAAGCACAGCAACCAAAGCCAAAATAGACAAATGGTATCACATAAAGTTAAAAAGCTTCTGCACAGAAAAGGAAGCAATCAACAAATTGAAGGGACAACACACAGAATAGAATGAAAGAAAATATCTGCAAATTACCCATCTGACAAAGGATTAATAACCAGAGTGTATAATATATATATTCAGGAAGAACCTGATATTTATTAAAGCTTTACTACTGAAGGTCATTTTACATAGTTTGTATCAACTTCATTCATTCATTCACACATATGGAACTAAAGAGGGAAAGATAGAAGAAACACATGTTTTCACTTATATGAAGGAGTTAAAAAAAGTTGAGTTCTTAGAAGTAGAAAATAGAATTTTCATTATTAGAGGCTAGAAAATGTAGGGGGAAGGGAAGCATAGGAGAGAAGGATTAACGAATACAAAATGACAACTAGATAGGAGTATTCTATTCTATAGCACTGTAGGGTGAATATAGTTTAAAAATTTTATTACCTAATTTCCAATAGCTAGAAAAGAAAATTTTTATTGTTTCCAACACAAAGAAATGACTATTTGGGGTACTGAGTATGATAATTACCCTGATTTGATCATAACACATTGTATATATGTATCGATATATCACTCTGTATTCCACAAATACATGCAATTACCAAAAATCAACTTGGAACTTTGTGGTAGAAACACAACTCTAAGAGACTGAGAAATATAATTATAGCAGTGGTCCCCAACCTTGGGGAGTGTTCCACCTCAGATCATCAGGCATTAGATTCTCATAAGGAGCACACAACCTAGATCTCTTGCATGTGCAGCTCACAATAGGGTTCGCACTCCTATGAGAATCTAAAGACACTGCTGATTTGACAGGAGGTGGAGCTCAGGAGGTAATGCTCCCTTGCTGGTCACTCACCTCCTGCTGTGCTGCCCAGTTCCTAGCAGTTCGTGGACTGGTACTGGCCTGTGATCTGGAGGTTGGAGAGCCCTAAATTACAGGATCATAGAAAAAATATTTGTTAATCAACAAGATTAACTTTTTTCTTTTGCTATATATTGAAATATTCATTTATATAATTCTGATTTTATGTAAAAAGACTTCTAAATGGAGTTAGTAGCTAAATCTCTTCAGTTAGTTTACTACTTGGTAACTAATTTATATTATTAATAAAGAATATCATTTCAAATGCTAGTGGAATGTTAATAACAGTTACTAATTTTAAAACTTAATGATACCCTTTGACATACTACAGTAGCCCCATTCTACAGCCCTACAAAAATTAAGCAATTTTCCCCAAGCTCACAATGCTTGTAAGGGACGATCTTGAAATTTGAACCCAGATTTACTTTGATTCTAGAACCTAGGCGATCTCAATTATAATATTGTTCTATCTTAAATAATCTCAAAATAAATAAAATTGAAGTATAAACAAGTAAAGGGATCATAAGTATACCATGTAGATGTAACACAAAATAACTGTTAAAAAGGTAAAACCATGAAATAGATGTTGAAGGAACAAAGTTAGTCCAGACAAAGAGATTGGATGCATCTGGGAAGAAAAATAGAGCTTAATAATGAGCACATTATCTTATGAAGCAGAAGTTCTGATTCCTGAGGTTCACCAGTTAGATAAAATTTAGGACAAATCAAAACATGACAAAAGGGTAAATTTCAAGAAAGCTTAGAGTTGAACCCAGGCACATCATTCTACAGATGAAAAAACAAAAAAGATCTCTGGAAGTTGAATGACTTCTCTATCTCCCAAAATATCTTCAGTAATTATGTACAGAGCCACTCGGCTCAGTTTATACATCTGCAAAACAGTGGGGAAATGCTAACCCTGTTTAGGTTTCAAGCCAACCCTTAACATATGTTTTAAAAACAATTTATGTGTCCTCTAGAGTACACTTACCACACTGTAAAATTATAGTTTCTTTTACTGAGGAGAAGTTATTTCTCTCGTAGCACAGGAGAGAAAATGTTTCTTCTAAATAGAGACCATAGAAATAGAAAAATTTCCCCTTTTTAGTTAAATGTGTGAATGAAAGAATGAGGTTGATGTAAAGTATGTAAAATGACCTTCAGTAGCAAAGCTTTAATAAATATCAGGTTCTTCCTATGAATCTAAGAAATATGGTAAAGACTTCAGTTGTTCCATTTCCCTTCAAAAGCATGAAAGTTCTTATATCTGGTAGAAGACCCTGTGAATGTAAGAAATGTGGTAAAGCCTTCAGTTTTTCTGTTTCCCTGGAAAACATGGAAAGAGCCAGTGGAGAAAAGTCTTATGAATGCAAACATGTGGTAAGGCCTTTAGTTGTTTCAGTTCCATTTGAAGACGTGAAATAACTAATTTCTGAGAAAAGCCCTATTAATATTGGAGTGTGGGAATACCTTCATCTCTCTGATATTCATTCAAAGATACATGATAAGCCACACTGGAGATGGACTTTATAAATATAAACACACTCAGTTAAAACCCCAGTAGAGTGAAAAATACAGGAAAATTTTCGATTATAGCAATGAATTCAAAAGTCGTTGTGCCAATCCACTGGTAAGGAATTCTATAAATATATGTAAATTGGAAAGCTTGATGCCAATTAATTATTGTATAATACTAAAAAAATGCACATAAATGAAATGTTATACTAGTTATAAATAAATTCTATTTATGAGTGGTTCATTGTTAAAGAGAGACTCTATATTTTGATTTTCATTTGTTTTGCACAAAATCATGAGGTGAGAATTTGGTAGATTTTCTATAAGCCACGGTATACAGAGTTTAGTAGGTAGAGTTTTTTTCCTTAAGTCAGTTAACAAAAGTCTTCTCTATTCATTTAAAAGTGTATTGGATCTCTAGGTGAATTGAAATGTATTTCTAATATGTAGGTAATTTTCATTTTTGTGTAGTTGTTTGATTGTTCTGTGATTGATGGGCAATTGAAAAATGAGATTTTGTTCATTGTTGGTGAGAGGAGGTTCCAGTTGGGCTTCCTGGGTCGAGTAGGGGCTCAGAAAGCTGTGAAGCTCACTCATTTCCTGCATCAGGACTTACTTTGATCCTGGATGAATAATATTGAAGATATATGCTTAAAATATTCCTAATAGCAGGATTTGTGCATGTATTTTCTTCCCCAAGAAAGCTATAAACAGCGAAAACTTTGCTGTAAGCATCCCTGTATCCTTCTCTCCCTCTCTCCCTTCCCTCTCCCTTTCTCCCTTCCCTCTCCCTCAAAACTAAAGTTTAAAGTAATGTTAACTGCCCATTTTCCTGTGACCAGCAGACCTTATGTGTCCTCCCAATTCCAATTCCTTGTAAACATACTTTGTAAAGTCCTGTAAGATCCTGTCTCTTCTGCCATGCCACTGCAAGGTCATAAAGTGGATAAAACCTAAGATGCAATTCCGGCTTTCCTCAAGATCTAAGACATGTCACAAATGGTTAATTGCCTTTGTTTCTCTCTCTGGTAACATCTTCTCGCCACACATATTTCCCGCCTTAAAGAGTTTAAAAGGCAATCACATAATCCAACTCTGGCTACCATTCGGGACCCATTCCACGCTGTGGAAGCTTTGGACTTTCATTCTGCTCAATAAAGCCTACAGCTTTTTCTCTCTGTCGGTCCATGTCTCTATCACTTGCCACGGTCAGCCACCACACCAATTCTTTGGCGTGGCTACGCAAGAACCTTAGGCGTTACATCGGAATGTTCTTACTGGCTTTATTTACGTGTCAAATTTTGAATATCTCACTCATTATATATATTATATATATATCAACTCATTATATACATTACATCTATATAATGATTGTCTGTCACCCATTATATATAATATATGATATATATATCAAATTTTGATTGTCACACATTATATAATATATATTATATATCAAATTTTGATTATGTGTTACCCATTATATATGTATCATTAGGTATATTATATATTTTGTAAAATAATGTAATATATAATATAACAATATAATATATGATATATGATTATGTATATTATATATCATATATTATATATAATGGGTGACAGATAATCAAAATTTGATATATAATTTACATATATAATATATAAAATATATATAAGCCAGTAAGAATATATATATAAAGCCAGTAAGAATAAATACATAAAGACAGTAAGAATATATATACACATATATATATAGATTTCTCAAAAATTAATTATTTCATGTCTTTATATGAAACTGAAACAACTACAAGCCTTACCGCTTGTTTACATTCATAAGGCTTTTCTCCACTGGGTCTTTCCATATTTCAAGGGAAATAGAAAAACTAAAGGCTTTACCACATTTCTTACATTCACAGGGTTTTTTTACCAGATATAAGATGTTTTATGCTTTTGAAGGGAAATGCATCAACAGAAGTTTTATATATATATATATATATAAAACAGAAGTATATATATATATATATATATAAAACAGAAGTTTATATATATATATATATAAAACAGAAGTTTATATATATAACAGAAGTTTATATATATATAACAGAAGTGTATATATACATATAAACGAAGATATACATATAATAAATATATATACATATAATAAATATATATGTATATAATATATATTATACTTTTTTAATGGGATCAACTATTTTTGTTGAAAAGATGTTTATTCTGTTTTATTTGCTAATAAATAATTTAAATAATAGTTATCAAAAAAGTTTTAAAAATTTAAATTATAAAACCAAATATTAGGTTTTTGTAAATTATGTCTTTCAACATAATGAGATGCTACTTATCATCCTGCACTTTACTGAGAAAATTTGATTCTCAAGACTTCCATTAAGTAACAATAAATTTGTTTATTTTCATGAAAGCTTTTGGACAATTAAGACTAGGATTCCTATGAAATCTATTTTGATTTTAAAGCTATAACATATTTGAATTTTTTTCATATACATAGGTGCAAACACATATGGTGTAAAATTGGTAATTTATAAACTTTAAGCTTATTGCATTATATTGGAAGAAATTGTATGGACTTGACACAAAAGAACTTGAATGCCTAGAGAGACATACACATTCAGACATAAACACAGGCATAAACAAAAATCTACTCCATCGTTACAAAATATTTAATTCACCAAGTTTGATATATTGTATTAATATATTCAATTGACTAATTATTTGTCAACTTCTGGTTCTATCACTTTGTCTAATGTTTTAATCACATCTATAGGCATAACGATGTAGATAAATTGCTTTATGACATATTTTATTGACTCAGGCTTGCTCTTTCCTATTAACAAGAAGTTATAGTTTTTTGCTTTTTTTTTTTTTTGATCCTAGAATTTAGAAACAATGCCTTGAACCCTACTCTCCTAAAAGGAAAAATGAGTGAAGAGCACTTAACAGTGATTGAACCAGACAGTCCTGTACAAAATCATGGCGAATGTGCATTCTAAATAGGTAGGTAATTGTACAAGCATATTGCATAGAATACATAAGTGGAGCCTTGGAGGTCAAAGAGTAGAAGCATACCAATTAGGCTAAGTATCCAACTAAATTGGTTTTCATTGTGTAATTGAAAAGTGATTAGAAAGAAACAGAAAGGTTTAAACTGAAAGATCTTTTAGTTTAAATCTGACAATAAAACTATGTTATTTAGATATGGTAAATAACATATTCCAGAAGGAAGTTTTCTAGAAATTCAAAATCCTCCTTGTGTATACATTTGGATTCTTTTTGGGTTTTTCTCTTGTTGTTAAGCACATTTCCAAGCTTTTAGTTAATAAAAGAAGCATATTTATTTAAATACTATGTGAACATTACAAAGTTATTTGGAAATCTTTTCTTAATCACTATGTTTCCAGTGAAATAAACTCATCCATTCACTCACTGTTTTTGGTGAACAATTTAGATAATTAAAAAAAAACATGAAACATTGGCCTAAATAATTTCATCCATTCACTCATTTCTGTTGGTGAATAATTGAGAACACTTAAGGAGAACTGTGTATCCACCTAAATCATGCATATTCATTATCCCCTCAGCTAAAATATATTACTTGCAATCAATGCTACTTACACTTCATATTTGTAGTAAGACTTGATTCCTGTGTTGATTCTGTTCAATAATATAAGAGTTTAGACACTGCTAAAAGAAACTATAGCAAGAAAGGGGGAAGGAAATTGCTCTTTCAAGAACCTATTCAGGGGACCAAACCCATACTTTGCCCTTCTGCCAACCATTCTTTCAGGCATCAAAACAGCCCTTAAAATACAGACATAGAAGATCAAGAGGCATCATGCATGGCTTCATCAAAAGCAGCATGCGTTCAAACTCAGCTTCTCCCTAGGCTAAATGCATTCCCTTTATGAGACTACAACTTTCACATTGGCTTTAAAAGAACTATTCAGTCTTTGGATAAATGGAATAGGGCAGAAAAGAGTAGTTTCTGTTGCTCCGATTCTTTTAGCCCGTAATTCTTTGCAAGGTTGAGAACAGACCAGAGAATGCTAGATCATGAGATGTCTGGCTGCAGACAAAAGATGAGCCTCCTAGGCCCTAAGCGATGAACCTCCCATCGCATGCACACACCCTACACAGACTGTGTTCTCTCAGTGTTTCTGGAATAATTCCATGAGGCCCTATTAAGAGTTTGCTTAATCAGAGAAAATATCAAAGCGTTTAATTGTTTGCAATTCTTCTGAAGTTGCAGAAACCAACAGCCAATTAGTACTCAAAGTTCTCTTTTCAGATGGGAAACTAATCTCTTTTTAATAGAAACTTTTCCTACTGTTTTTTTTTTCTTGGAAACACACTTTGCAACCCAAATCACATTTAGAATACAATGAAACAGAATATGAAATGATATTTTTCTGCAAACTATCATCTTTTCTGGTTCATTTTCAAGATCTTTGATATTTACATATGACCTTTCCATTTTTATTAACAGTTTGTTGAATTTTTGCATTCCAGCCAGCAGAAGAGAAAGGTAATTTACAGAAAGATTTGACAGTTATACACACAGCTATAAACTTCAGTCCATTAACTTATTTCTTGTGTAACCTTTAGTCAATTCTACCAAAACATCCATATAAGCATATGCCTTTTTTCCTTTATGTTAAAGAGGTCTCATTATGGGACCCTATTTGTAGAATGTCAAAAGAAAAGGAAACAATTTTATAGTGTCTCCTTATGGTTCACAGATGTTTATGGCTTTTACTTTTTAAGTCACACAAGTAAAAATCAAATATATTTATGTGTTGCTCAGATTTCTATTACATGTGAATGGATACATATTTGACATCTTTTATTTGGTTAATTTATAATTATACATTTGATAATGGTAATATTGTTTTAACTATTTAACTTTAAATAGTGGCTTAGAATGGTCCTATAAAATTCATGGCATTTTCTGAAGCAATACATAATGTTATTTCTTTGTAAAACATACGAAAGTAATTCTAAAAGTTTATGTTAAAGATTATATTTGAGCCTTAAACTTTGCTAAACTATGTCTTAAAAATATAGTCATTTTTAACTTCTTGAAGCCCTGAAGTTGATAAACTTTTGCATAAATATAATGACAAAATTGCATTCCAGCAAAATGAAAATGTTGTATATTATTTGGCTTTGCACAGAATGGATGTTTCTAATTAAATATTAATATTTAAATGCATGGCATAGCACTCTAAATGGATTTTTGTACCACTATGCCCTGAGTCATTTCTGTTTGAAAAAAGGCACCAAAGAGAAGCTGTAAAACAAAAAAAAGGGAATGAGGACAGAAGAAAACTGTACTTTAAAAAATATGAATCATGTTTTATTATTTGTAAAATATCATAAATTGGAGTGCTTTCTCCAAAACAATTGAAAGCCAAATACTGTATATTCATATCACCTTCACTATAGAAAAACAATTAAAAACACAAAATATAAACATTTATTTAAAAAAGTAAGATGAACCAGATGTGGTGGCAGGTGTCTGTGGTCTTGGCTACTCGAGAGGCTGAGGTGGGAGGACTGCATGAGTTTAGGAGTTCAAGGCCAGTCTGGGCAACATAGCCTGACCCTTAAGTCTTAAAAAAAATATGGTATGTATATATTTGAGAAAGAAATGGAATTAGTAGTAAGAATAAACTGTAAGAGGTCTCAGTTTGTCTTTATATCCTTTGTATGTAGGAAGGAAGTGATAACTGAAATATACTGATGAAACCTGAAAATTAGTAAGTAGCTAAGTTAGGGCCAGTTGAGCTACATAACCATGGTACTAGGAAAGTGTGCACTAATAAATTGTTGTGATTGTAGTAAGCTGAAGACTCTCTACAAGGTCCATAAAGTGGGCATAAAATGCATAAGATAGTAAATTATTTTCCAGAAAATGCGTTAAACTTGAGGTTTTCTGGAATTCTCAGGGAAACTGATTCTTGTTTATATATTTACCTATACTTTATAGAGTTGTAAAGAAGTTAGACCGGCATATTTCTGTGCTGTGTATTAAACAATAATGCCAGTTGACCTCACAAAACAGAAATGAGAGACACATTTTACTCAAGAATAGTTTTTCACTGTACTTCATCTTTTTTATTTCTGCTTGCCCTCTTAAAGAAATGGAAAAGTTCCATAGTGCCATCTGGTGTCAATTAAGGAAACAGCTTCTTTCAAGGATTGTCTACTGGACTATTCTTCTAAGCCTCAAGCTGAGACTGTTGTTCATAAAAGCTGAAAAGGACTTACAACTGATTATGTAATATATGTTTATGTTCATTTTTACCATATTATCTTTATCCAGAAAAATTAAATGATTTTCTTTCTCCAGAGAAGGGTATGTATACTTATTAGTTTATATTTAAGCTTAAGAAAAAACCACTTGTACGTGTGGAGATTTTATATATAAGATTAGGACATATATGTATGTTTGTATGTCCTAAATCTTTACCAAGTTCCTTACTGGTGTGCTATCAAGTTTTCTTAAAAGTTATCATCATATATTATGTCATTGTTTACATATATATATAAGATTTAGGACGTATATATATGTGTGTGTGTGTATATATACATATATATATATGTCCTAAATCTTTTCCATACAAAGTTATGATTTCAAAATACATCCATTCAAATCTCCCACTTTAATTTTAAATTGTCATTACTGCTATGCCAATTTGCAAATACAAAATTAATAACAGCAGTCTCTGATTTTTCCTACAAAGTTTGTTATAGTGTGTGTGTGTGTGTGTGCATGATCATACAAATATTTGAATTGTGAAATCAAATGGAAACTTTCATGAAATGCAATAGAGTTGCAGGTATTTTGTGTACTGTCACATACCTCTTGTTGATTTTTATTTCAGCGTATTCTATTTTTGACAATATTTATTATTATTTGTGTGTATGGTTTCATAAAAAAACTTGTTTTTTTTTTCTTTTCCTACATTATGGTATGCTGATGTTTTCCTTAATTGCTAACCCTTTATTCTGTCTTCATTTGGGGTATCATGCGAGACTTTTTGTCTTCACTTTTTCTCTCATTGCCTCCCTAGTCATTTGAAGGATGTTGAGGCTCAGAAAACAATACCCACAAATGAAGGCCTCAGAAGCAAAATTTTCTCTGCCCTCTGTGCCCTCCTCTCTTCCAGTTCCATTCTCCCTAGAGGCCAGCCATAGAATCTAGAGTCCCTCTTCCCCAGTGTGGGTCATAGGAACTGGAGCCCTTTTACCCCAAAGCCAGCCATAAAGCCTAAAAATTTCATTCCAACTTTCCATCCAATTCTGCTTAAAAACTGACCATAAACAAATTATCTGACCAACCTTGTTTGACCACAGTTCATAAGATTCCTATTCCAGAGAGGACCTTGCCTCACATCCAGAAGGAAGTGCTTAGAGAGGTCAAGAAGAATGTAGACACACAGGCTTTGCTGGGTTTCCCAACTCAGTCTATTAACATTATACCATACTCAGTTTGTCCAGTCATATTTCTACATGGCTTTCCATACTTTGTTGAAACTAATAAAAAAAATGGTCAATTTCCCCTGTATTTTTGGGTCTTGATTTCGAAGGCTCCTATGGATACATTTTAAATAAATTTAATGCCTTTTCTCCAATTAATCTGCCTTTTGCCAGCTGAATTTCAGAGATCCTTCAGAGGGCAAAGGGGAACATTCCCTTTTGCCCCTACAAGGCTAATACTCTGTTATGTCTTCTGTCACTTTCTCATATTACCTGCATTAACGTCACAAATTAAACTTTGGATATGATGTAAGTGACTTCTAGAGGTTCCTTTTAAGGCTAAAATTTTAATTTCTGACTTTACTTTGTCAGATATTACTAAAAAGAGTCTTCCATTTAGTCTAGTGTTCCATTATTGGAACGCTAAGCATGTGGGAGTTATTTATATCCTACTGCTCAAGGTCATCACCAAGGTCTAATTGCAAAAATTCAAAAAACTGCAACCTCAGGCATAAATGGGTTAAATCGTGTAAGACAGAAAATGCCAAATTCATAGTTCCTTATGTTTTACAACATTTAAACAAAACCACTGTTTTTCTCCAAATATAGTACTGATTTTTTTGTGTGTAAACTATCTGAATGTTATTACGGTTAGAGAAGCTATGCAATAATTAATCATTACATATAGTACATGCCCCTGTGTGTGTTTTATGCACTTCTAAAAAAAAATTACATAAGTCCACAATAGGAAAATAACACTTTTTACAGGCTCAACTTGTTTTCAAAATTAATATTTATCTCTGGAAAGGCTTCTGACCAGTTACTTTTTAAATATGGACTGAACCATATAAATAGCATTAATCACTACTTGCACCTTTCTCTACATATAAAAAGAAACCACAATGGCTTATTCCAACATTGCTTAGATAAATTACATCTGAGGCTGAAAATGTAAATGAATGCTTTTCAAAAAACTAACCCTCACAAGCCATGTGGTTCCTCTGTTAGTATTGTTTAGAAACCTTAAAACATCATGACCTGATTAAATACTGAACAGGTCATGAGTGAAGTTTAACTGACTGAAATATTAAAGTACTGAACAGTTATAAACTTGGCTTGTTTTCTTTTTCAAAACACCCATGGACTAATCATGCAAACCAATTAGCAAACTTCAAACAAGTGAGTAAATACTCCAAAATTAATAGCATGTAATTATTCGTGATATATACTCAAATGACTTGTAAATGTCAGTAAAGCAAAATTGTGTGAGAGAACTTTTTAAAAGTCTGTAAAATACTGATTTCTAAATTAGGTCTTAAAGAGTTGAGCTGGGAGACATTACAAAGAGTTCACTCAAACTTGTTAAGAATGGAGCACTCAGTCAAAACTAGATTCTGTAGGTGGGAGTACATATAGAGTATTCAGGAAAACTGAGGAGAACTACCTAATTATAGCCAAAAGTTAATATTAGCAGAACAACAAATGTGCTCATGTGGCATTTCTCATGGGACCACTGAAGTGATCTGGAAGGAGAAGTGACCTATTTTTCATATTTAAAAGATCTTTTCTTTGTGTCCTTTCAGCAAAGTAGTAACCCTGGTTGAAAGCATTTTGTCACTAAAGCACTTTTATTAGGTATGTGCTGCAAAGGCACATGCATTCCATTAAGCAGCATCAGGAGAAAAATCTGAGAGGCATGGATCACAGATGTGTGGGAAGAGAAGGTTGAGTGTTGACTTTAATGGCTAGAGCTATATTTACTGGTATCTGGAAGTGAGCTGTGGGGGCTAATAGATGAAGGATAATGATCACAAGTGTTATTATAGCCCACGTATTAGTGATGACTAATCTCTGTTACTAAGTAGAGTTCTAGAGAGATATTGTATCACAGAGTGAAGTTAGTCTGTTCCCTGGCTTGCTCTTAAAAAAAAAAAAAAGCCATGGAACAGTTATTTGAGGAATCAATCAGTATAGATATTAACACTCAATTAAGATGATTAGGATATGCAAGTTGCAAATGATTAGGATATGCAAGTTGCAAATCCTTGCCAAAGTTGCCACTTTGAAAAATAATAACATGTATTTTAGTATATAAGTAATTGTAAATGGTGTTTTTCTGCTGAAGATAGGTATAAAATAGTTATTTCTTAGCTTGTGCCAATGCTATTTCGGCACAAGGATTTATTTGTGGGTACAAGGGAATAACAATGGAAGATAGAAGGTACTGGTTCAAGAAAAGTCTCTGAGGCATTTATATTTTGATACTAAGACTCAAAAATGAAGACTATATGCTAATGCTGAAAGATGTACCATAATTCACTTTAATGCAGACCATAATGCAAAACTTAGTCTTCATCCACAGAAAGTACTGAAAAATGAAGAAATAAGACTGGTGATATTGTTGGCTATATATTTATCATTGTATTTATTAAATGAAAGTATGCAACCTTGTTAGCAATAAGGATCAGAGTCGATTTGAAAGATACTCATAAGGCAATAGAAATTACATGCATATGTACATTAAAAACCAGAATCTCATTATTTGTCATATTCAATTGGTGAAACATTTGTCCTTTAGGGAAATGAAATTCAAATATTTCTATGATGTAGGACTATGCTACTCTGCAATTCATTTCTGACTGGAAATATAAAGGTGACAGCTCTTGAATTCTAGAGAGGGTTGCACTATATGTTTAGAATAATGGAGAAGTTCTGGAAATATTCCAAATCAGCTTGGAATGTTAAAGCAACATAATTCACTTAAAATGTCCATTATCCAAAGAATATAAACTGAACTGACAGCTGCCTATAGAAGTTGATAAATTTTAAACTTTTCATCACTTGCCTTTGGTCCATCTTTGCTGAAATAATTCAAGCTAGAGTTAACCATCTAAGCAATCATTTACATTCTTGGACTCACTCAGAAAATGCTCATGTATAATCAACCTAATTCTTAAGAATGTTTTAAAGGCATAATGATCCTGAATATTTTAAACTAGATCATAATACTGTACTGTGTTGCGATGCTATAGCACCTTTCAAATTAGATTCACGGGTCACTAAAACTCATTATTTAAAGATTAGAAGTCTCTGTCGTAGATCAGCGTTTTATAGATGAGGATACGCTATCAATCTAGACAAAGAAGCTTATTTAAAATTACAGAGCACTGGAAACCAAGAAGAAAAGGGTATAGATATTTTTAGAAATTGTACCTGTCCTTCAAAGTGTATTTATAGTGGTTTATCTATTAACCTTTTTCCCACTAAACCAAGAGTGATTTCAAACACATTTGCAACTTTCACCAGCAACTACACCCCTCATCTTCTACATGGTTAGCCAGCATTTGCTTTATAACCTCTCAAGCCTCACATTGTGCCATGCTTCTTGTATTTCTCGGGACTTTGGCTATTGTAGACTTCTCTATGCTCCTTGATCATACCATCTCTTGACTCCACCTCATCATTTCTTCCTGGAAAAACAACTCTTATATTTCTTCTTTATAAATCAGGCCTTCATTTATGTATTATTATCATTAAATAATCTTCCCTTGACACTCCCAGACTAAGTTATATACCCCTCTGAAATAAATTTTTATCCCAAACTGCCCCTTTAAAAACAAACATCCTCAGGCTGGGTCTATTATAATCCCTTGGGCCACTGCAATTGAAGCAGAAATTAAGGTTTATTAATACTAGGTGAAGAAAGATATCATAGATGACTGAGATAACCAGAAGGCCAGACAAGTAACAATGCTCTTTTAGATATCCTTTCTCTACAGCTTCTGTTTTGTTTCATGCTGGTGAGCTGAGGGAGAAAGCAATGTACAATTGAGCCTACTGAGTGGGATTAAAAGATGGTTAAACACAGGGTTAAGTATGCATTTTCTTCTTTGAAGCAAAACCTGCAGAGACCTTCATGGGGAATTGAGACCCATTGGGCCCACTGAAGTTATTAGTCCAGAAGAGCTCACTCCACACTAGATCGTGAATCAAGAAAGGGGAAGGCACAGTTTGAAGTTTTAGCACGGCTGCTGATAAGTAACATACCTTTTCTCTGCCTGGTATTAGAACAAAGGACAGATAATTATGAAAGTTAGACAAATGGAGGTAAAAGTATTGCTTTCTTTATTAATAATTTTTTATAATTAAGCCTTAGTTTTCATAAATATTGCAAACTTTAGTTACTCAAAGGCAAATGTTCAATTTTAAGTCTAGCCACAAAGACAGTACCTGTACTGTTAAGTCTGAAAATGGCTAAGAAGTGATGGGAATGCAGGCTTTTGCTGGGAAGACTTACTCCGAGTTACACATGCCTAGTTTTTCTCCTAGACTTTTCAGTTAGAATTCCTTCTCAGGTAAAAACTAAGTGAGGAAATAAAGTGTCACTCCAGAAGCTTCTCTCTTAATTGAAATATGATGGAAAGGAGTTTTAAATCCCTCCCAAATATCCTTGCCAGGTAGCTCTATAAGCAGAATACATGATAAATCACACCCTTTCTCTCACCTTGGTTTCTTTTTTGGTATATTAATTAAGGGTAAATTAGGCAGGTTTGAAGAACATTCAGCATGTTTACTTGTAATGAACACTTTACATTATAAATAAAATGGAACATGATGAGTTGGAACTACTTATTTTCATTTGAAATCCTCATTCTTCCTCAATATTACAATTTTTTGTGGAAGTAGCTGCCTGCTGCCGATACATTTCTTTGTCCCCTTTATTCTCTATAAAACAATTAGACCAAATGTAGTTTCTAGGTTTAGCTCTTTTGACAATTGTTTATTTTTCAGTTTCAGACCCCACAGTGCTCTCTGGAATAACTAGTGTCTGTCTGTCTGCCTGTCTGCCTCTCTTTACTTATATCTGCTCTCATTTTACAAACCTTTAAATTTCAAAAATTTCTCTGTAACACTTCCTTTGTCCTACCAATTTATTGGATTATATACCAAATCTAGTCATCTTCTATTATTCAAAATATATCTTGCATTACACAAATCCATCATCTTGAGAGTAATCTTGTGAATTATAATATATGAGGTAAAAAGCATTTTAGAAATTATCAATTATTTTTCAAATATGGAAACTGAGGCACAGAGAAAATAACTGGTTTGTTCCTTATAGTTTGGTTATTTATCATTACTGCCTAGATTAGTTTGTGTTGCTAGGATACACAAGTAACTTGAATATGCTAGTATGACTTAATTCTTGTCTATTTGTTGTTAATATAAATGTATTCTAACATTCAACATTAGTAAAATGGAACCATTCAAACGTCATCTTCAATGTAGCTTGAGGAAACTTCACAAACTGATTAAAATGAACTATTAATTTTCCACGGTTTGCATATCAGCTCAGACCTTTTTCTGGTCTGTTAAATTATAGGTTTCGATGTCAATGGCAAAATATTGTTTCTCACTCAGTCTCCAAAACCACACTGAAACAATATGAAAAGCATTGGTTCTTGCAGTCATTGTGGTCCAATTGTACTGCTCTAAAACACGTCCTCTATGCTCACCATATCAGATATCCTGCCATTTTGGCACAGATTAACTGAGCACCTAGGTGGAATTTTCTTTGCAGTATTCTTTGTGTCCTAAAACTAGAGACTTTGAACCACAGGACTACTGCTGGAAATCCTTGATTTCTACAAATTTCTGGCCATTTTTTTTTTGTCTTAATTGTTGATGTTTTCCTGGAGGAGGAGGGTGGCTGGCTTGTAAAAGCATCACTTACCCCTTGTTAATTTACACACCTGAATGATGTTACCCACATAATTTTATGTATTATCTCTATAATATACCACATTACAAAAGGCTAATAAAAGCACAGCTAGTATCATTGGTGTTTACGCATTGCTATATACAAATATAATTTCTGTGACACATGAAATTATACTCGTAAACCCAACTCCATTTGGAAAACAGTTTTAATAAGTGAATAAAATACAATAAAAATTATCACAGTAAAATTAAACAGTTGGGCACCTGAAACTTCACTTGCCAATCTTCATCTCTATAGGCCCAATACTGTACATCTCACTTAAGTTGCTATTTGTAATCAGTGCCAAGTGATATGTAAGAAGTGTAAGGCATGTCCTCTGCCCATAGGTGTTATGAGTCAACATTAAGATTTGCTAAATGGGAACATGTGATATGACCAGCATTCTCTGCTAGCTACTCCCCAATTCTGTTTCTGCTCACAACAAAACTTCTCTATATAAAGTAGTCTAAACTCAACTCTCTCCCATTTTTCTTTTTCTTTTTTTCCTGGGCCTCTCGTTAGTGCTTTCCCCTAACTGTCCCACAGAAAATGCTCTTGCTAAGTTTATTAATATCATCAATGTTGCTATGTCTGATGGTCAAGTGTAAGTCCTTGAAGTATTTATCAGTAGTATTTGACACAGCTGACTACTCTTTTATTCTAGAAATACTTTCTTCAGCTGGCTTCCATATTGTGTTTTATTCCGCTTATCTCACTTGCCCTTTTAGTATCCTTCCTTGTGCCTTCTCAGGTTCCTATATATTATTGTGGTATCCCAGGGTTCAATCCCTGTATCTCTCCTCTAAATTCACTTATTTGCCTGATAAAGTCATTCAAGCATAGCTTTAAATATCATCTATGCACAATGTTGATGGCTCCCAACTTCATATTTCCAATGCAGACATTTCTCTTCATCTCCAGACTCAAGTTCAATAGTTGATGAATTATCAGTTCAGCAAATATTTATCTCTACTTCCATTACTAAAAAGTTTCAAATGTTTACCTGTCTAAAACCAAATACCTGATTCACATTCCCTATGACCTGTCTACTATGATCTTCTTAAACTCTGTGAATGTTAACTTTAATATCCCTGAAGACAAAAACCTTGGAATTATCCGTGGCTCCCCTCTTTCTTTTATATGCCACATGCAATTTGTTAGGAAAACCTGTGATATCTACTTTCAAAATATATCTAGAAGCAAATCATTTCTCACCACTACAACTCTGGTTCAAAATGTCATCACTTCTCACTGTCTGTTTCACTGAAAATAAAATTCGAAAACTTTCCAATAAAGCCTTAAACAATCTGAATCTGTCTTAGACTTCTAACTTGTTTCTTCTTATTACTCTATTTTGCTCACTCTGTTGTGTGTGGGTCTAAAAACTCTAGCACAGTCCCAGTTCCTGGCTTTTGTACTTGATATTTTCTCTTTCTGTAACCAAGGATAGATTAATGGGTTGGTATCCAGGGCAATCCCACACAAACCCACATTTAAAAGAGGACTACCGACTTTTAGTTTAATGCTTTATAGTCCCTCTATTGAAATTGTCAGTAATTTTGTCTTTGAATTTGTGTTTTATAAAAAGTCCAGTAGGAAAATGGAGCAATGTTATGGGCTGGGGGTCTTGGTTTACATGAGATCCTACCTTCTCCCTTTTTCGTGCAAGTAAATTCTCAACGATACACTTTTCTGCCCACACTCAGTGTCACTGTAATTCTTTGCTTCCAGTGGGGACTTGGATGCAGAAACGGGGAGAGTGAGTGCACAAAGTCATGAAGCTGGGCCCCAGTGACCCCTGAAGGTCTATACTTGCCCAATAAGCATCCCATGCCCATAGAATTCTGTAATTAAATAGTAAATTTTAAAAATTCATGACAAGTTGTGACAGATATGGGAGAAAGGAAGAAGTTACTTTCCTACTTTTGAACAAGAGCCCCCCCACTTTCATTTTTCACTCACTCAACAAATTATGTAGCCAGCCCTGCTTATAACATTATATTTCCAGAAGTATACATGAGTAATTCATTCACTTTCTTTAATTTTTTGCTCAGAAAGGACCCTTACATCGAAATTTTCAACGACCACCCTTTTAAGAATCAACTTTTCCTCCAAACATACACTTTCAAACTCAGGAACTCAAACTATTCCTTAAATTTCTCTCCAGAGTATTTCTCATTATCCAGCATACCATATAGTTTATTTATTTATTTATTTATTTATTTTTCTTCATCTGTGTCTCTCTACCCAATATCAGTCCTGTGAATTAACATTTTGATCATTTCTATTGGTTTTAAAATAATCACATGTTTCGTGGAATCTGGTTACCCTATTTTTATAACAAATCTTTGTAGTTGAGGTCTCTTGTGTTTAACCTGTGAAAGCATTATCAATCGTTAAGGGCAATTTACCCAACAAACACCTTTATGGCTATCCATTAATTGGTTCCAACTATAGAGCACAGAGGATTAAGTCCTGGCCAGACTGACACATAGCAGTTCAAATAGAGAGTGTATCTGGTTCTGCCATTTCAACTTAAAAAAATCAAAGGTGAAAAGAACAATGTTTCTCCTGGTTTATAGCAACAAATATTAATAAAAGAGGCAACTCTTTCTTTTTTAGGATACGCATATAAATACATCATATTTATCTAAACTATAGAATATATTTAAAAGGTATATTTTGTTTATATCCATATATGAATTCATACATTTACACGTTTTAGCCAACTTTTAAAGGAAAATTTATTTTGTTTGGTTGATCCTTTGTAAATGAATGGGTGTTTTTGCTATTTCAGTGGTATTTTGTGTGAGATTTTCAATTCTATTGAAATAATCAGGCTTTAGAGAAGGAACAAAATTATGGAGCAATGAACCATGTTAGAAATTATTCTGTATATTTCATGATATTATGTAAAAAGCTATTTGATTCTACTACGTTTTTAATTTCAACTCGTTAATTCAAAATTAAAATCATAATTGAAATTTCTTCCATATGATTTAAAAACAAAAGCACAAAAAGCTTTAGTGCATTTAGAAAACTACAATGGGCAGTAGCACAAATGGAAACATTTAAAAGTTTGGACTAAAGTAATTGTAAGAATCTTGACAAGCCACCCCTAACAAGACAACATTGAAAATTGGAAGACGAGTCCTACTTTAATTCATTACCTCAAAATGTATTTAATGAACACATAGTATGTGTTAAGGACTCTCCTATACACTTGGAACATAACAATAATAAAACACAGCAAAAATCTCAGCCTCCTACATCATGCAATGAACTGAAAAAGGTGAAAGTGATTACTAGAAGAAAGCAACATTTGGAAGGAGAGTTGAAGGAAGCTAAATGCACAGTACATGCATGGCAAGAAATCTGCTGAACAAAACAAATTACCTAACACTCCCAGAATGACTCACTGCCTTGGGGAAATACATAACAGAACACAAAGAAGAGGAAAAAAATCAGTGAAAACTGCAATCATAACAACTACAAGACAAATGATAACTGAAAAAGAGAAACTCAGTAAAAATATTGTAATAGAACCAATCCCATGCAGCACACAAATTAGATTTTCCAAGAAGCCAGAGAGGAAAAGCCAAATGTTGACAAGGAAAATGATGAGCCAGGATCAATCATCCATTTTAAACAACAGGCTTTCCTGTGATTCTCTAATTTTCAGAATAAATGTCTTTAACAGAGTTAAGTCATACAAGTAAAATAAAATTTCACTGAATAAACAACCAACTACCTGAAAATGAATAAAGCTCAATCTAGAATGCACAGTAAACTTGGTGCCCAAAGAAATTTTACAAGAAAATAATTCATAAATACTTTTCCTTAAGTGTCAATTTTAATGTACATATAGGATCTTAATTTTCATGTAGAATAACATATATTGCCCCCAAATGCAGCTGTCTTCCAAAACAAAACAGTTGCTTTAAAAATTCAGTATAGATTGTATATTGGACTGTCTTCCTTCTCATTTATGATTCCATGTACTATGGAGTTACAAATTCATATTTAACTTAATCTGATTATAAAACATAAACTATGGTAAAAAGTATAGGTAAGTTATTTGCGAGCAACTCAGCTGAACTAGAGAAAGGGCCGAGTTGCCAGATATCAGAGTAGTCTACTAAAGCTATAAGGAACCAAAATAAAAGTAACAGTGAAGCCTTTGATACGTTACTATGAAGGTGTAAGCAAAAGGATAAAACTGGAGAAAGTGCTGATCCCTCCCTGTTTTATTTCCCCCCAGGGAACTCGACTCTAGTTGAGGGTCACATGGATCAGTATAGATACATGGGTCATCTTAATATTCAGGGAAACCCAAACAAAAGGCTCCATCAGTTTTATGGACCCTGGAGTGGGATGAAAGACTGGGGTTAGGGCTGGGATAGCAGAGGTACTGGGTACTGAGTCACAGTGGGGAAAAGTGTCCTCATGTTTTCCCCCTCCTATCTCCATAAGCAGGCCTTGGCAGAGGTGCCTGAAGACTTCTGCCAGCAGAATGAAGGACTCTGGGCCAGGAATGCAAATATGAATGCAAACATGCACAAGCTCATGACTAGCCAGAAGGGCCCCAGTCCTTGACTGCAGCTCCCTTCAAAGCCTGGGGTACACTCAGTGCTGTGCACCAAGTCTGATGTGAAGAGGGCAGCTTTTCCCCATGAGGACTGCCAGGTAAAGCCTTTGTAATTCCCTATGGTCAAGCTTGAAAAACAACATGTAGGTTTTTTAATCAGATTCCTTACTACTTTTAAAATCAACATGAATTATGAAAACCAAGAGTAAATGCCAACCACCACGTTATGTGCTCAAAAATAAATAAACATCTCAGGAAGTTGCTGTCTCTTAACAAATCAAAATGGCTGATTCCTCACTCTGTGATTAGAAGAACCTGCCTCACACTATTGGAATGTAGCTTATAGATTTTTGAGGGGACCAGCAAGTCAATACTTCTCTTTACAGTTCACAAAAGAGAAATAAGCAAGAGTCAACACTTTATTACCTCACAGTCTACATATTTAGTTGACTATTTGAATTTGTATTGGATGACTACAGGCATCTCTTTTTTAATACGAAAATGAAAGACAGATTTATTATTTTTCCTTGCCTGACTGTGTCTTCCTTCATGTCTTCTCTTTAGGTGACCCAGTTTATTTGCTTGTGGTAGAAATCAAGTCCTTCTTGATATATCTTGCTAAACAATGTTTTATATTTAACTTACAAAAAATTATTTTAAGATTTAGTTCTTTAAGTCTTTAATTTCTCTACATTCCATCTACTGTTCAGCACTATTTTTTCAGTTAACAACATCTTCCAAACTAATATCATCTCTCATCTAGAAAACTAATAATAACTATGAACTAATGTCCCTGCACCCACATCTAAACTGTTATTTGCAAAGTGTAAATCTGACCATGTCATCTTCGACCTCCCAGTGTGCTTAATTCCTGTCATTAGCATTCCATGGTTTTTAAAACAAAGGCCAAAGTCCCACAAAACCTTACATGACACACCCACTGCCTAACTCTGCAGACTCCTCTTTATCTATATTTATTTTTTCTAGACAAACAAGTGTTTCCAGTGCTTCAGTCATTCTATGCTACTTGATATCTCAGGATTTTGAACGTGCTGTTCCCTCTGACCTCTTTCCAACTCCTATTCAAACTCAAGTCAAAGACTCGACTGCGGGACAGTGGATTGTGGCTTTTTTTTTTTTTTTTCCAGGCTGGAGTACAGTGGCAAAATCTTGGCTCACTGCAACCTCCGCCTCCTGGGTTCAAGCGATTCTCCTGCGTCAGCATCCATCTGGCATAGCTGGGACTCCAAGCATGCACCACCACGCTTGGCTATTTTTTTTTTTTTTTTTTTGTATTTTTAGTAGAGATGGGGTTTCATCATGTTAGTCAGGCTGTTCTTGAATTCCTGACCTCAGATGATCCACCCACCTCGGCCTCCCAATGTGCTGGGATTACAGGCGTGAGCAACTGTGGCTTTTAAAAATATATCTTTACCACACTTAGCATCATATGCCAATTTTCCTCATATGATTAATGACTGTCACTCCTGAGACTGTGTTCTAAGCTGCAACTATGGCCTTTGTGCTATTCATCTGGCTGTTTTTCTCCAAGGAAAATTATAAATAAATATCTTTGGAATGAATGAATGAAAGTCATATTTGTGGTATTGTTTTATTGACCTTTCATTTGTTTTCCTACTGCTTACTCTTTTATGTACAGATTTAAATCTACCCAAATGACTTCTAATAATATATTACAGATGACTAGAGAAGACAAATGAGGCTCTGAGTAGACATCATTTAGGGAAGATACATGTTTGACCAAAGTGGACTATCCTGCAGGAAAACTAGGAACATTTTCCTCCATTCCATGGTGTTCTATGTTGTGTTTGATAGAAATTTAGGGAAAAGGTACATAATAGGTTGTATATAAATGAGCTACTATCTGTTTTGCTATTTGTAAGCCTATGGCAATATCAGGAACCACTAGAAATATAATTTTAGCATAAAAGCAATATTTTAAATACTTTTTTCAATGACTATTGACTATGGTACAAAATAAAATCTTAAATATGTATGCATTTTGTTTATGTTACTTTATGTAATATCTTTGGATAAGTTTATTTTGTTGCTATAAATATATCTTTTCCCATTGGACCTGTAAGTCTCAGGTCTTAGTGTAGGTGAATCTCCATTAATGTATAAGATAAACTCTTGAAATTGCTGTGTAATTCACTTGGGAGTTAGGGAAGATTTATTTATTGGGCTAACTATTTAAAGCTAGTTCATGATTAATGCAATTAATCATCCTGATGATTTACTAATTTTAATTATTGCATATTGAGTCTTCTGGTATTAATCATTGTATATTGAGTCTTCTTTATGTGGGGAACATAAAGCAGACGAGTTTGTGTTTTCCTTGCCTTATTCAATTTATTTTCATCTCGAAAATTATAATAAATTTGTGCTATCTGTTACAAAAATACTTTTAGTACTTTTATTTATCTTAAATTATATTTTTCCAAATGAGGGCATATATTGTTATTTTATAGAAAGAAAGTACAACACTATAGCTGTTCTTTCTAACTCAAGAAACACTGAAGAATTATTATTTTTTTGGTGGAGGGACAGAGTTTCACTCTGTTGCACAGGCTGGAGTTCAGTGGCATGATCTCGGCTCACTGCAACCTCCACCTCCCAGGTTCAAGCGATTCTCCTGTCTCAGCCTCCCAGGTAGCTGGGATTACAGGCATGTGCCACCACACCCAACTAATTTTTGTATTTTGAGTAGAAAGGGGGTTTTGCCATGTTGGCCAGGCTGGTCTCGAATGCCTGACCTCAGGTGATCCACCTGCCTCAGCCTCCCACGGTGTTGGGATTACAGGTGTTAGCCACCATACCGGGCTTGAAAAATTCTGGGTCTCTTCTTCCTCGAGTTGTCCACTTAAGATTAAAAATACTAACATTTTGTTCAGCTATTTATCCAGCAAGTAATAATTACCAGTTAACATCACTGAAAACATTTGAATATAATGCTTTGTGAGTACTTTATTCTGAAAACAAATCCAGAAAGTAATTCAAGAATCAAGAAACTTTAGCTTGTTTGAATTTTCTCTTTTTGAATTAGACCTAAGAGATCTATTGAGTCATGGTATGAGGATGGAAAACTCTAGAAAGAATTGACATGACCATTTTGCTTAATAGACTGTGGTTGTATTCGTTGTTTTTAAATAGCTGTAGTGGTCTTAACTTGTTTTTGTGTCTTTAAGATTACATAGGTCTACTGGACAAAATCATGAAAATCTGAATTTGAAATTAAATTTCTCTGTAATTTCATGAACAACATTTTAGTGGTTACAACAATATAATTTCTTTTTTTAATGTTTTTAATTATTATTATTATACTTTAAGTTTTAGGGTACATGTGCACAATGTGCAGGTTAGTTACATGTGTATAAACGTGCCATGCTGGTGCGCTGCACCCACTAACTCATCTAAATAAATCTATTATGAGGCAGACACTGCTTTCTATGTTTAAGAGAATATCAGGTTCCAAGGTGCCATTTAAATAAATCATATTGTCACTAAGCCTTTATTTTATAATGTATTTTGTATTATTTTCATTGGTTTATATTTTGCTTTAGAATATATGATTAACTCTTAGTCATACATATTACCCAAACATGCACTTCTTATGGAACATTTCAATAGACAAAATCACATAGTAGAAACGTTTTCTGTGGATTGTAAATAAATTCATTTCTAATACATACCCTCTTCTGCTCTTTGGGACTAACACATATTCCTGCCAAATAATACATTTAAAAAAAATTGTCTCTTAGTGGCAGAAATAAACCATTAGTTTTTCCACAGCTTGTCTATTAGTAGGCAAAATTACAGAAATTTACACAAATATTCGGAAATAGTCTCCCTTTACAAACATTACCTTTCCTCAGTGAATTTAAGTATAAATATTACTGATACTGTACTAAGATAATTAACAGAACTATGAAGTTTTTAATAGAGAAAGACCTGATGTCTATCCTGTGGCAGCATATAACTTCACAAAAAGAAGCTTTAAAAAAATTTCTGAATTTTAATTATTGTATACTTAATAATGAGCTTTTTTTTCTTATTCTGATTCAAAGGAATACACATGACCACATATGCATGCACGTCTATTTTTATTTGGATGACCAATGATTTCTAAGAATATTTTAGTAAACAAAACTAAAAATATATATATATTTTTTAGCTTTTTGCAGCTACCATCAGAATAAAATTTAAAATTTAGTCTCAATATCTTAAGAAATGATAGCTAAAAGGTCGTCTTATGGTACAGAAAACGAATATTTTTACAAGGACACGAGGGTATTTCTGCGTAAAGACAGACTATTCTGTTCAGAGAAATTAGCGGTGAAGTTTGAACTCAAAAAAATTGCAACATAAAAATATTAAATATGATGAACAGGCAATGCTCAAAAATCTCAGAACCTTGAAATACAAAAGTATCCCTTAATGTTTGAAAAGTATATATTTAGTATTATTAGCAGTTGTAATGAGTCTCGATATTCCATTTTCATTTGTTATTTTCACTACTGTTTTACATAATCCTCTTAAATTCACCAGCTTTTTCTTTCCATCAAACCCTAGAGGAAGTGGGGCAGGCATTACTATACCTACCTTCAAGGTAAGGAAACAAACATTTAGAGAAGTCAGTCCTGTGATATATATTAGTAACATACTAAGTGGTACAATCAACATTTTATGCCAAAGGTAGTAAATCAGATATGTTTCAAAATTTTCGTCACAAGCGTACACATGGCCAACAGATATACGAACTAATGCTCATTATCATTAATCATCAGAGAAATGCAAATCAAAACCACAATGAGATAGAGATATTATCTCACTTCAGTTAAAATGGCTTTTATCCAAAAGACAGGCAATAACAAAGGCTGCAAGGATATGGAGAAAGTGGAATCCTCATACATTGTTGGTGGAAGTGTAAATTAGTAAAGCACTATGGAGAACAGAATAAAAATTAAAAAATAGAACTACCATATGATTCAGCAGTCCCACTGCCATGTATATATCCAATAGAAAGGAAAGGAGTATATTAGAGAGGTATCTGCACTCCTGTGTATATTGCATCACTGTTCACAATAGCCAATGTTTGGAATCAACCTAAGTGTCTATCAACAAGTGAGTGGATAAATAAAATGTAATATATATACAAAATGGAACATGATTCCATTAGACTGAGCCATAAAGAATGAGATCCTGTTATCTGCAACAACAGTGATGGAACTAGAAATGATTATGTTAAGTGAAATAAGAGCATGCAAAGAGAAAGTTCACATGTTCTCATATGTGGGAGCTAAAAATTAAAAACAATTGAATGCATGGAGAAAGACAGTAGAACAGTGGTGATCAGAGGTTGGAAGGAGTAGTAGAGAGTAGGGAAAAAAACTGGGAATGGTTAATGGGTGCAAAAATAGAATAAATAAGGCCTAGTATTTGTGCAACAGGGTGAATGCAGTCAAAAATAACATATTGCATATTTTTAAATGATTAAAAGAGTGGAATTGGTGTGTTCTCAACACAAACAAATGATAAAGGCTTAAGGTGATGGATTCCTCAATTACCCTGATGTGATTATTGCACACCTTAAGCCTCTATCAAACCTCTTATATCAAATATATACACCTACTATGTACCCATATAAATTAAACATGAAAAAATTAAGTTTTTGTCACAGGAATCTTTTTTCAAATAAAATATTATACAGAAGCCCAAATCCAAAGCAGATTCAATGACAAATTTATCTTTGAAAACTACTGTAAGAAAAAATGGAGTGTACATAATGGGTTTTCCTTCCTGTTCGTATTCCACATAATTACTTTTAGCAAAAAAAATTACACAAACAAATCATATTATACAAACAAAAGCCACATGTACACACCCCATTTTTGAGCCAATAATAAGGCATGTGTAGGTAGCACAAGTGTAGAAATATACTGCATTTTAACATATATGAAGCCTTCCTAAAAAAGTACTTGAGAGCTCAGCTGTGGATTCTTCATTTTAATTAATGCCCTGTTAATACCCTATCAAATTAATTAATTGTTGCCATTCTCTTTTCTAAACCAATGTTTAAAGGATAATAATAAAAGAAAAAATAATAATATGCTAGAAACTTAAAACAGATATGAAGTATAAGAATTTATGGAAAAACAAGCAAACAAAAAAAGAATTTATGGAAAAACAACTCTAGGAAAAATAAAAAGCTAAGGCTACTAAACTTAATTGATCCTAAATGGTTGAAAATAAATAACTTCTTTTTTTTTAGAATTTTTTTTTTGTTTTTATTCTGTTTTTTTTTTTTTTTTTTTTTTTTTTCTTTTTGAAATGGAATCTTGCTCTGTTACCCAGGCTGGAGTGCAGTGGCATGATCTCGACTCACTACAACCTCCACCTCTATGGTTTAAGCATTTTTCATGCCTCAGCCTCCTGAATAGCTGGGATTACAGGTGCACAGCACCATGCCTGTCTCATGTTTTTGTATTTTTAGTAGAGACAGGGTTTCACCATGTTGGCCAGGCTGGTCTCAAACTCCTGACCTCAAGTGATCCGATCGCCTTGGCCTCCCAAAGTCCTGGGGTTATAGGCGTGAGCCACCTTGCTCAGCCTAGAAATAGTTTTTTAAACCACGACTCATGGATTACACTTTAGTGAGACATCAAATGACGTGAAGGGAAGTGACTGTTTTTCCCACCTTTTTAAAAAACCAAAAATATTTCTTATATGATTATTTTATATTTTTTATAGAGACAAATTCCCACAAATTTAGATTGTTAAATTTTATTTTTATAATATTGTTACTTTGGAAAGACAGTGAAATTTGGTTGAGCTCAGTGCTGTAGAGATATATAGTGATCTGATTTCACACTACTTTGGCTCACTCATTGGCTCAAAAACCTCACAATAATTACTCATAAAAGAATAATTTGAAAAAATTCACCTAAACTAACATATTGCACATAAATTCCTAAGGTACACTCCCACCTTCATTTCCAATTAAGAACTCCTGGCTAAGAAGTTTAAAAATGTGTAACGACTTTTAATCCATTCCTTTCAAAATTCTTTGCTTTAATATTCTCCATATATATCTCTATCTATCTATCTATCTGTTCAAAAACCAACATATATATATATATACATATATATATATCCCCTTACATATTTTTAACCTTGCATCTAAAATTTTTGTCATGAGTATAAGTGGTTAAAACCACTTATACTCTATAAAACCACTTATACTCTATAAAAAATATAAATGATGTAATTTCTGTTGCATTTAATAAATTTTGATTAAATTTAAAAACAAAATTGCTACCTCACCCATTTAAATTTTTTTAAAAAAACTAAAATGCCATAGCAAATTGATATATTTAAAAGATTAAAGCTGAAAATCAAATTTCTTAGAATCCCAAAGCAAAAATTAGATAGGCAATCTAGGCTAAATGTTGAAATGTGTGACAAGCACTAGCTGAAACACAAAGACAAGGAGATTGTTGCAACTTTCTCACACTGGTAAGTCCCGCTATCAGTTAATTAGTAAGGACAAGTTGAAAATTTTATATATAGCTGCAACATAATATACTCACCTTATATAGTAGTATGCTTAGGATTTTTATTATAGGATATGAGGCAACTTATTCTCAAGTATTTTTTAATTCATATAATACATTTTCTAATAATCATATTTGCTTCATTTTAATTAAAGTCAGAAAATCTTACACTAAATCAGACTTTAGTTGTTGTTCGTATCTTCTTCTTATTTTAATCTTTCATTCCCATCCTTCAGTAAACAATAATTATTTTCAGTCACTAGCATAGAGTTTAAGTTTGGCTTTCTGGCCTTATATAACTGGGAGATAGTTATTAATCAGTATGGTAAGGCATTCCTGAAATGAAATGGCTTATAAATCTATTTATCAATCCTGACATCTATATTTGACATATAGTGTAGGAAATAAGTGCTTCTTAATTTCTTATGGTGATATTTTCTGATGGTAACTAAAGATCCTACTTAGATGAATATAGGCAAGATGGAAGGATGAAATGAGAGATTAAACTGGATAATGCTGTGGTCTTTGGTTGACTTACTCTGCATTTGTGTAGGAAGGGTGGGTATGCTAGTAATTTTTAAAGAATTAATGTTCTTTCATGAATACCTTTCTTAGATCAATAAATTACATAATGACTAACAGGACAAGAGTTCAAAAATTATGAGTGAAAAGACCAATCTATGATGCAGTTACTATTTATTAGAAGCAGAACATACTTTAAAATTGATATCTACAACATTGCCCTCAAGGCTTACACTACCATTTCAACTCATTCCCTCATGAACAACATAAGGCTGTTTTATGAGTGATCTCAGCCATTCTTCATTCTACTATAGATGTCCACTGTAGAGTAATATATTGCCACTCTAAAAAGAGGCTTCTGGTGCTATTGACTAAAACTAAAACAATATCAACTAGATGACAAAAATTCTCAAATGATAACTCCTTAATAATGTCAAATTGCAGAATAATGGTATTAAAATCACATTGGTTGACAAAATGTGATATGAAACATGAATATTAGTAAGGCATGTGTTCAAAGTTGATATTTTTATTATTAAAAAATGTGTTTCATATCTTTGACAAATCAGAATTAAAACCCTGGCTATACTATACTAATCTAACTTCACTTGGAAAATGAGGTATTCTTTATAGTTGTATAAGCATAAAATACAATTACAAATTTTTGGTAACATACCAGTTAAAGAAGTTAACAACAATATTTTAAAATGTGAATGAACTTCTTGTCTTCTGCTTGAAGCTCTGTTTAAAAGTCACTTTTCTCCACTATAATAATAAGCCATGTTTATTTGGCATTTTCAAATTAAAATATGGTGTATGAATAAGTATGCCTAAGAAAGGTAGAAAAGTTTAAAAAGAACCAATGTCTTAAAACCACGAAAATGTTGACCAAGTTATTCTATATTTAATATTATTATTCTAAACACAATGTTACAAATGATGCTTTAATGTAAAGTATAAAATTCATTTCGTAAATTGTTTAGGAATATGTGATCACTATCCATATTTCAACTCCAGGTGAAATAAGTATGTAATAATACAGAATGTTCCTACAGTAAGTAGGAAGGAGAATTATTTCAACAGAAAGGTTATCAACCTAAAAAATGATAATAAATATATGTTAAAAATTGAATGGAAATACAAAATATGTGAATAGCATCTATATTTCTCTGCTTTAGTTATAATCATGTATTGACATAATTTTTCTTCAAATATGTATTAAAGAGAATAAACTGCCTTTAGACTAACAAAAAACAGTGTGAGATTATAGTGTTGCATAACTTACTATACTTTGATACTATTTTAAAAATATTACTAAAATATTTTCAGGAGACACTTTGACATTTAGCTAACAAAGCATTCTCTTCAAACTTGATGGTAAACGCTAAGTAGATAGTTACTTCCTATGGAAGTTGTAAATATAAAATAACCATCATTTTATTCACCTTGCCATTTATATTAGTCCATTCTCACACTGCTATAAAGAACTGCCTGAGACTGGGTAACTTATAAAGGAAAGAGGTTTAATTGACTCATAGTTCTGCATTGCTAGGGAGGCCTAAGGAAACTTACGATTGTGGCAGAAGGGGAAGCAGGCACCTTCACAACGTGGCAGGAGAGAGTGTGAGCAAGAGCAGGAAAAACTGCCTTATAAAACCACCAGAACTTGTGGTTTTATATTCACTTACTATCAGAAGAACAGCATAGGAGAACCGTCCCATGATCCAATCACCTTCCACCAGGTCTCTTCCTAGACATGTGGGAATTATGCAGATTACAATTCAAGATGAGATTTGGGTGGGGACACAGCCAACCCATATCATTCTGCACCTGGTCCCTCCCAAATCTCATATTCTCACATTTCAAAATACAATCATGCTTTTCCAACAGTCCCCCAAAGTCTTAATGCATTCCAATATTAACCCAAAAGTCCAAGTCCAAAGTACCATCTGAAACAAGGTAAGTCCCTTCTGCCTAGGAGCCTATAAAATCAAAAGCAAGTTAGTTACTTCCAAGATACAATGGAGGTACAGGAATTGGATAAATGCTACCATTCCAAATGGGAGAAATTGATCAAAACAAAGGAATAACAGCTCTGTGCAAGTCTGAAATCCATCAGGGCAGTCAATAAATCTTAAAGCTCCAAAATTATCTTCTTTGACTCCATGTCTCATATCCAGGTCACGTTGATGCAAAGGGTGGGCTCCGTGTTCTTGAGCAGCTCTGTGCCTGTGGCTTTGCAGGGTACAGCCCCCGTCCTCGCTACCTTCACTGGCTGGTGTTGAGTGTATGTGGCTTTTCCAGGTGCACAGTTCAAGCTGTCAGTGCATCTACCATTCTGGGGTTTGGAGGACAGTAGCCCTCTCCTCACAGCTCCACTAGGCAGTGCCCCAGTGGGGACTCTGTGTGGGGCCTCCAAACCCACGTTTCCTAGAGGAGGTTCTCCATGAGGTCTCCACTCCTGCAACAAACTTCTTCCTGGACATGCAGGCATTTTTGTACATCCTCTGAAATCTATGCAGAGGTTCCCAAACTTCAGTTGTTTCTTGTGTACTAACAGGCCTAATGCCATGTGAAAGCTGCCAAGGCTTGGGGTTTGCACCCTCTGAAGGAATAGCTTGAGCTGTACCTTGACTCCTTTTAGCCATGGCTGGAGCTGAAGCAGCTGGGACACAAGGCACCAAGTCCTGAGGCTGCACAGAGCAGGGGGGCCCTGGGACTGCCCCATAAAACCATTTTCCCTCCTAAGCCTCTGGGCCTGTGATGAGAGGGTCTAACCCCAATATCTGTGGCATGCCATGGAGATATTTTCCCCATTGTCTTCATGATTAACATTTGGCTTCTTGTCACTTACACAAATTTCTGCATCTTGCTTGAATTTCTTCCCAGAAAATGTTTTTTTTTCTTTTCTATCACCTCATCAAGTCTGCAAATTTTTCAAACTTTTATGCTCTACTTCCCTTTTAAACATAAGTTCCAATTTCATATCATCTTTCTCAAGGTCAAACTTCCACAGATCTCTAGGCCAGGGGCAAAATGCTGCTAGTCCCTTTACTAAAGCATAGCAAGAATGGCCTTTGCTCCAGTTTCCCAGAAGTTCCTCATCACCATCTGATACCACCTCAGCTTGGGCTTCATTATCTATAATATGATCAGCATTTTGGTCAAAATCATTCAAGAAGTCTCTAAAAAGTTCCAAACCTTCCCAAATCTTGTCTTCTTTTGAGCTCCCCCAAACAGTTCCAACTGCTGCCTGTTACCGACTTCTAATACCGCTTCTACGTTTTTGGGTATCTCTATAGTAGTACCCCACTCTCCATGGTGCCAATTTCCTGTATTAGTTCATTCTCACACTGCTATAAAGAAGTGTCCAAGACTGGGTAATTTATAAAGGAAAGTAGTTTAATTGACTTACAGTTCCACATGGCTAGAGAGGCCTCAGGAAACAATAATCATAGCAGAAGAGGAAACAGGCACCTTCTTCACAAGGCGGCAGGAGGGAGTGTGAGTAAGAGCAGGGAAAACTGCCTTATAAAACCACTAGATCTCTCTCACTATCACAAGAACAGCATGGAGGAAACTGCCCCCATGATTTAATCACCTCCCACCAGGTCTCTTCCTTGACACTTTGGGATTCTGAGGATTACAATGAGTTTTGGGTGAGGACACAGCCAAACCGTATCAGCATTGCTGCTACATGCCCAGTTATGACATGAACCACTGGAATTTATTTCCATTATTCAGAGCTTAAGAACTCTCCCTGTAGTAAGATACCTTTTCAAGAAGTGTAAGTTTTAGACATGTTACTGTTATATTTTTTAATATAAAAGCAACCATTAAATATTCCTAAAAGTACTAACAATGAGTATAAATTATATGCATATACATAATTAATTTGAGCTCCAAAATTATCTTATTATTGCCCTGATTTTAGAAGTGGTAACTATGGTGAATTGTCTATATAACTTTAGCTCAAATTGTCTTATCCAAATACTCTAGTAGTGGTTGTTGTTTCCTTTTTCTTTTTTTTTTTTGTTTGCATAATTGTTCAGCTGCTGATGACATTCTCTATTATAGTTGTCACTTCTTTTGGTAATGTCCTTCCATGATAGCTCATTTGTTTTATTTCAGTAAATTTTCTTATTCTTCTAAATGCTACATTTGATTTTTGAGTTACTCATTAAGATAATTTACGCTTGGAAATTTTTGTTATTAAGTTAGTGCTGCTCTGAATGTAGACACTACAAACAAGATACTGGATGTTCATAGCAGAACTATTCATAAAAGCCAATAAGTGTAGACAACCCAAATGTCTATCTAGTGATGAAAGGGTGTAAAAAATATGGGATATCCACAGAGTAAATTTTTTTGCTGAAATAAATAGGAATAAAGCAATAATACATGCTACAACATGGATAAACCGTGCAAACATTATGCCAAGTGAAATAAGTCATGTATTATATGAGTGTATCATATAAAATGTCCAAAATAGGAAAATATGTAGAAACAAAAAGTAGATTTGTTGTTGTCTCGGGATGGGCAGATTTGAGGGGTCAGCTTGAGAGTGACTGTTAATGGTTACAGAATTTCTTTGTGATAAGATGAAAATGTTCTGAAATAGACTTTGGTGGTGGTTTCACTACTCTATGAACATACTAAAACCCATTAAATTGTACACTTTAAATGAATGAATTATATGGTATGAATTGTATATCCATAAACCTGCTTAAAATGTTAAAGGACATTGCCATAAAATTACACTGAAAAGGTCAATGAAATCTCATAACTCCAAATAAGAGACATTTTCTTTACAAAGACTGGCTCAACATCAACAGCAGCACTCTTGCCCACCAAAACTCTATGCCATCCTACACCCTGCTACTCCTAGATTTGTGCATCTAATAAGAAACTAACACTAAAAATAATCCAAAATGCTTGGGGAAGTATTGGTTCCACATATTAAAATAGAAAATAAAGGTGTTACTAGAATACTCTTTTATGTCTAATAATAAAATAATATAATAATAGCAACAACAAAACTATAGTGGTGATAGCTAATAATTATTAAAAGTTTAATACTAATTATTAAAAGTTTAATTATAGTGTTTAGTAAGAACTGTTTCAGTTGCTTCACAGGGATTAAATTCTTCAATTCTCATCATAACATTGTGAGGTTGGAACCATTATTTCCTTCATTTTACAGATGAGCACGGAGAGAGTAAATAACTTGTCTAAGATTACAGAGCTAGCAGGGATAGGATAGAAATTCTGTCTGTCTGCCTTTAGAGTTTGTGCTATGCTTTAATTGCAACATAGTCATAAAACAACAAAGAAGCTAGCTAAAGGTTTACCCATAGTTGAAGCTATGACCATTTTATCTGAAGCAAACAGCAACTACATCAACAATATAATAAGGATTTATCACAATAAGCTCAACCTTGATAATGACATAAGTATATAGTGATGATTAATGGAAACATAAAGATTAATATTAATTGTGATGAATAAAGTTAGCTACAAACAGTAATATAATATTTATATTTTTATGGTTCTAATTATTAGTAGTATGGTAGTTTATGGGTTTAGTATTTTATTATATTTTTCAGGTGTGTCTTCTTAGGATTACTGGTATAAATCAGTTACTTTGTACAGATCATAAAAGAGTGAACAGAAACTTGTGTTATTTAAAGCAGTACTCCAAACATCAAGAGCAACACAAATAATAGAAAGTAATTATTAGTATTAGTTGCTCATATAAAATAAGAAGATGGGAGGAGAGTCCACCATCTGGTTCATGTTGATGGACATTACACAATAATAAATTAGAAAGAAGGTGTAACAGCATATTTAAATGACAAATTAGACAAATAACCTAAAAGATGAGAGTTAAATATGCATATGTAATTTCTCATCTCATAGGAAATTAAACCTTTTCTAATTATAATAGCCCTGACTAATTATTATAAAATACTAATGAGAAACCTGTACATTTTTAACAATGCTAATAGATCATCTATATATAATCATGATAGGATTATATGCTAGGTATCACATGCTATATAAATGTTACAATGCACCTAAATTCTGGAAAATTCTACTTTGTGTAAAATTAAAATCTTTATTTAAGTCAACTACCAAAGGTTTGTATTTCATATCAAGTAAATTTTTTAAATGTTAGAGGCCTCTGCCTAAGATTTGAGTCAATGTGGACCATGTCACAATGTCCAGGCTTCAAAGAAGAATCCAAGTTAGTGATAAAAATGATAACATATAGCAAATTTACCTAAGCCTTAGAGACTATGAATGTTACAAGGCATGATATAATGAATAACAAAAAAGTTAATATTTTAAAAACATTAGTATTGATACAATAGCATTAATAATATTTAAATATACAAATAATCTGTTTTATGATGTCTGAAAAGTCCATGTGCATTGCCATTCCTACTATTCCTAATATACTATTCAAGTATATCAAATTTATTTATCAATTTATAATTAATGGCTAAGAGTTCAAGAAAGGCAGTTGTCAATTGTTTAATTAGACAGTTTTGAGGCATTGAACAAATACAAATAAAAATTGTTCTTTAGTAACTAAAGTATCTCTGACATCAATGTCACAATAGTGTAAGTAGCTGTGACACTATGAGGATGTCAAAACATAATAGATTATGAAGATGTAGAATAATATATATGAAGTTGGAAGCATTCGGAGTAAATAATTAGATGAGTTATAGTCCATCTACTTTTTATATTATTTATTTTTATATTTCATCCAAAATTATTCTAGAAGTATTTTTTTTACTGATTTAAATTCTACTTTCACATAATTATGTGTATGTGCTTATTGCAAGGAGGTAGGATGAAGTTAGATACACAATTTTAGCTGTAATGTGGTTGTCTCTCAGTACGTTTGGTTGCTATTTACAAGTATAAGCACAAACTTTATAACATAAATATAGAGTTTAGGAAGACTACAGTATTATTGGCATTTGAGTCACACATAAATATTGTGCAAGTAAAGATTACAATGGTCATGTGCCTGTTATGTAGTCTGAGATGCATATTCAGTTGCCTATTGATATTGAAAGACTCAAACAATAGAGAATGTATAACATCATTATAGAAAATTATAGTTGTTGAAAAAGAGCAAAAGTTGTGAGCCTCATTGTTGGCAATATGTAGTGCATAATGATAAGTTATCTGCCTTTTAAAATGGGAATGACAAGAATTCTTTATGTAAAGAGAAAATAATAAGGAATTTTTCAATGAATTAAATTCATAATTTTTTGAATGGCAGGTTCTAACAATACAGAACAAAGTGTTAAACTATCATTTCAGGCTAGGAATTAAAGTGTTTAATAAATTAATACATTGCCTTTGGGATTTTTAGAGGTGTTTCAAGAAAAAATATTTTATATAGAGTCATTAGCATGTAAATGAAAGCAATTATTGTCAGATGACTTAAAATCCAGTCCTGATTTTGCCACTTATATGTATATCTACCTAGGCCAAGTCATTTAATTTTTATAGGTTATGCTTCTTACATTAAACAAAACATGAGATACTTGGACTAGATTACTTTTAACCTTGACTTATTCAACTCCAATATCTTATTGTTGTAAATATGATATTCAGATGACAGTTGGGCAACGTGTCCAAAGTAAAGCTCTCATTTTAGCTCTAAAACTTGCTTTTCTTACCAAATTCTTTTGTGTGTGTGTGTGTGTGTGTGTGAGTATAGCACTAACATCCTACATCTCCTGTTGGCTGAAGGCTAGAAGGAACAGATTTTCACTTACTTGCATTGATTCTATATTATCTGTTTAATGAGGTTACTTTTCTTCATTTTCATTAATGGAAATGTCTACAATACTTGTGTATGACTTGCCTATGAAAATTGAGTGTGAAGACAGGGTTACCTGCAGCAAGTTGAAGGGTTTTTCTGGTTAATTTTTTATTTTTTATTTTTTTACGAAGTAGGATGTAAATTTTGTGCTAAGGGTAAGAAAGGAGGTAAACGTTTGAAGAAAAAGCAGGTGGTTTAAATATCTCCTTTGAGGAATAGAGAAGTTTGCCTAGTCTCAGTTTCCCATTGATGCTATACCCAGTTACCTTGAACTTAGTGGCCCAAAGACTATACACTTATTATGCTATGGTTCTGGAAGTCAGAAGTTCAAAATGTATCTCACTAGGCTAAAATCAAGATATTGACAGAGCTACCTTCCTTCTGGAGTCGCTAAGGGAGAATAAATAGATTTGCCTTCCAAGAACCAAGAAGCTTGCCTCTTTCACGGATTTGTGGTTTCCTTTCTGTGGTCACATTAATCTGATGGATGCTTCCATCACCACATTTCATTCCGACTCTCCTACTCTCCTCATTCCTTTATGAGGACCCTTGTGTTAATATATAGATCGTGCCTGCCCAGAGGCTATAGGATAATCTCCCCATCTCAAAATCTCCAATTTAATCACATCTACAAAGTGAGCTGAGATCTTGCCACTGCACTCCAGCCTGGGCGACAGAGCGAGACTGCATCTCAAAAATAAATAAATAAATAAATTTTATTTTTCTCATGCTTTTATAAACGTTATTTTTTTCTTTATTTTCTCTGTGGATAGTTCATTGTTACTGTACAGAAATAAAACTAAATTTTTATGTTGATTTTGTATCCTGAAACTTTACTGAATTTTCTTTTAGATCTAATAGTTTTTTATTGGAGTATTCAGAGTTCCTTACATATAATATCAATCCTCCTGGAAAGAGAGATAATTAATTTCTTCTTTTCCAATTTGAATGTCTTTTATTTATTTTTCTTGATTAATTGCTCTGGCTATTAGACTCCTAATTCTATGACGAATAGAAATGATGAGAGTGGACTCCCTTACCTTCTTTTCAATCTTAATGATTTCAGATATTCACCATTAATGTGATACCAACTGTGTGTTTTTCATATATGGCTTTTATTATATAGAGATAAATTTATTTTATAACTACTTTGTTGAGAATTTTTATTGTGAGACAGTGTTGAATTTTGTCAAATGCTTTTTCTGCATCTATTGTGATAATCATATAATTTTTATCCTTCATTCTGTTCATGTGGTATATTACATTAACTAATTTGTGTATGTTGAAACTTCCTTACAATTCCGGGATAAATCATAGATGATCTTACTCTATGATCCTTTTAATATGCTTTTGAATTAGGTTTGCTAGTATTTGTTCAGGATTTTTGGATGTATATGCATAAGGGATATTGTCTTGTAATTTTATTTTCTCATAGTGTCCTAGTCTGGTTTGGAATCAGAGTAATTCTGGCTTCAGAAAATGAATTTGAAAGTGTTCCCTCATCTTCAATTATTAAAGAGTTTGAGAAATATTGGTATTAATTATTTAATTTTTTTGGTAGAATTCACCAGAAAAGCCATTTGATTTTGGGGTTTTCTTTGATGGGAGAGTTTTTATTACTGATTCATTTTCTTATTCTATATTGTACTTTAAAAATTTTCTGTTTCTTCAAGATGCAGTATTGTTAGGTTGTGTATTTCTAAAAATTTATCATTTTATTCTAGGTTATCCAGTTTGTTGGCATATAAATATTAATTTTATTTCATAATTTTTATATTTCTGTGGTATTAGTCACCAAGTCTCCTCTTTTATTTCTGATATTATTTATTTGAGTCTACTCTGTTATTCTTACTCTGGGTAAGTATTTGTCAATTTTGTATATATTTTCAAAACCATCTCTTACTGTTTTATTTTTTCCATTGTTTCTACATTCTGTCTTTTAAAAAAATTTCTGCTGCAATTTTTATTATTTCTCTCCTGCTAACCTTGGTCTAACTGGTTCTTCTTTTTCTTGTTCCTTGGAGCTAACCTTAAGTTGTTTATTTAAGATCTTTCCTTTTTAATGTATGCTTTTAAAATAATTTAGGGGTTAATTATCACTATAAACTTCTCTCTTAGTATTGCTTTTGCTGCATTTCATATGTTTTGGTAAAATTCCAGTGGCTTTTTTTTCAGAAAGAGAAAAAAATCCTAAAATTCATACGGAACCACAAAAGACCCTGAATAGCCAAATCAATTTTGAGAAAGAAAAAAAAAAAGGTAGAGGCATCAGGCTTTATGATTTCAAAATATATATTACATTGCTACAATAAATAAAACTTTATAGTATTAGCATTGAAAAAGGTATATAAAGCAATGGAACAGAATAGAGAGCCCATGTCATATATTTTCACCCATATATGATGAACTGATCTTTAACATACGTGCCAAGAATACACAATGGAGAAATAATTGTTTCTAAAACAAATAGTTTTGGGAAAACTAGATACCCACATGTTTAAGAATGACATCAGAGGCCGGGCGCGGTGGCTCATGCCTGTAATCCCAGCACTTTGGGGGCCGAGGCAGGCGGGTCGAGAGCTCAGGAGATCAAGACCACGGTGAAACTCCGTCTCTACTAAAGATACAAAAAAAAAAAAAACAAAAAACTTCGCCGGGCGCGGTGGCGGGCGCCTGCAGTCCCAGCTACTCTGGAGGCTGAGGCAGGAGAATGGCGTGAACCAGGGAGGCGGAGCTTCCAGTGAGCCCATATCGCGCCACTGCACTCCAGCCTGGGAGACAACGCGAGACTCCGTCAAAAAAAAAAAAAAAAAAAAAAAAAAGAATGACATTAGAACATTATCTTACACATGAACAAAAATCAACTCAAAATTAATCGTAGGTTTGTACCTAAGACCTACAACTGAAATTCCTACAGGAAAATATAGGAGAAAAACTTTTATTACATTGGTCCAGGTAAAGCTTTCTTGGATCTGACTCTGAAATCATCACCAAAAAAGCAAAAATAGACGAGCAGAACTACATCATACTAAAAATAATATGCATGCAAATGAAACAACAGAATTAAATGGCAGTCGATGTACTGGGAGAAAATGTTTGCAAATCATGTATCTGAGAACAGGTTAATATCCAAATATATATGGAAGTTTTACAATTCAAAAAAAAATCATAATTAAAACATTGATAAAGGACTTGAATAGACATTTCTCAAAAAAAGAGAGACAGATTTACAACAAGTATATGAAGTTATTCAATATATCTTGGTGAAGATGTGAATAAAAAGGAATGCTTATACAATGTTGGTGGGAATGTAAATTAGTTCAACTCCTATAGAGAACAGTATGGAGATTTCCTAAAGAACTAAAAATAGAACTACCATTCAACCCAGCAATCCCACTACTGGGTATCTACCCAAAGGAAAATAAATTATTTACGAAAAATACACTTGCACCCATATGTTTATTGCAGCATTAGTTACAAAGTCCTTTTTGCACTATTGCAAAGTTATAGACTCAACTTAAGTGTCCATCAGTGGTTGATTAGATAAAGAAAATGAGGCATATATACATAATGGAATATTATGCAGCTATAAAAAATAAAATCATGCCCTTCTCAGCAGCATGGAGGTCATTATCCTAAGAGAAATAACTCAGAAACAAAATCAAATGTTGCATGTTGTCACTTACAAGCAAAAGCTAAACAATGAGTACACATGTAACAAACCTGCATATATACCCCCGAATCTAAAATAAAATAAAATTTAAAAATCTCTACATCTATTTTTTTAAAAATGTTCAATCTCTCTAATTTTAAGGAAAATTAAAATCAAAATCACAATGAGATACCATCATGCATCTGTTAAGATGGCTATTATATATATGGATATATACACACACATATGTAATATATGTGTGTGTCTGTGTGTTGACAAGAATGGAGAAAAATGGAAAAACTTCTACACTGTTGCTGGGAATGTAAAGTAGTACAACTACTATTGAAAATAGTATGGAAGTTTCTAAAAAAATTAAAAATAGAGCTACCATATGATCAAGTAATCCCACTTCTGGGTGTATAGCCAAAATAATCAAAATCAGGATCTTGAAAAGACATCTGCACTGCCATATTCTTTGCAGCATTATTCATAAATAGCCTTGTTATGAAAAAAACAACCCAACTGTCTATCAATGGACGAATGGATAAAGAAAATATGGTGCAGATATATAAAATGAATTTTTTATGCTCTTAGAATTATCATATTATATATAAGATTTTGTATATATGCATTTTCACATTTTTAATAATTATTTCATTATCAATAATAGCTCTGGTATGAAAAAAAAAACCCAACTGTCAATCAATGCTTGAATAGATAAAGAAAATGTGGTGCATATATATATAATGGATTTTTTTGCACTCTTAGAAATATATATATTTAAGCACTTTAAGCACTTTACTATAAGCATTAGAGATTTGTCACCACATAAATTCACTAAAATTACATTATTATCAACATGCAGCTCAGTAGCACTCCAAGAAACACCTTTTATATATGTGTCTTTAAAAACCTTCACTTCATGCATTACAGAGGAATCACCACATTCGTTTTATATAATAAAATGTTATTCAGCTTTTAAAATAAGGTCATCTTGCCATATGAGACAATATGGATGAATACGAAACACATTATGCTAAGTAAAATATGTCAGACATAGTAGGAGAAATACTACATATTCCTACTTATATGAGGAATCTAAATTAGTCAAACTCATAGAAACAGAGACTAGAATGGTGTTGCCAGGGGATGGGGGTAGGAGAAAATGGGAGTTGAGTTGCTGTTGAACAGGCATAAAGTTTCTGTTATACAAGATGAATAAGTTCTAGAGATCTGCTATACAACATTGTGCCTGTAGTTAACAATACTGTGTACTTAAAAGATTGTTAAGAAGTTAGATTTATTTTATGCATTCTTACCATGATAAAAAAAAAGTAAATTACTCTCTTCATTTCTCCCCTCAAATGAATCAAGCTTTTCAGCAGAGCATGAGGGTAGTAAAAGTTGAATTAGAGATTCGTGGAGAGAGAAGATTCAAAACCTCTTTCTGGGAGAGTGGGAAAGCTATACACACACATGCACACCTATACTCATATATGTAAAACATATGCAAGTTATTTTATTACAAATATGTAAAACTTATTTTATTATAGATAAATATCTTTCACTATATATAAATTCATATAATTTTTATATACACAAGATGATACAGAGGTTTATTATATAAAATAATGATGTGATATGCAAATATCTGTCAAGCCTAATAAATTAAAAATAGAGATATGTCTTTAAGTGAACTTAAAGTAATTGGGCATATTTTATATCTATAAGCAAATTTTATAACTAGCTGATATAAACCATGTTTTGGGGAAACTGACGTGAGTAATATATATGCAAAATTTAACTTGACTGGATTGCCAATAATCACCAAAGAAATTGAACACTTATGTATACTATCTAGAGTCATGTTCATTGAAATCATGATTTTTGGGTTTTTGTACTCACTATGTGTCCTTGGCCAATTGTTATGCCATAGTTCCAGCATCTTTAAAATTGGCATGATAACACTACCTTATAATGATTTTTGTTGCATGAATTAAAAAATAATTTGTGTAAAGTTTTTAGTGTGTTGCCTTGCATATAAATTAATATTTTCATTGTATGTACGCTATGCTCTATTGCAAAGATCTATATCCATATGGCTTTATTGTAAGTCTTTTCAAAACTTTAAGGTATTAGAATTACAGAAGATTTAATACAGAAAGTATCCAAATGTTTCTATATAACTCTGATAGCAAAATTGGTTAAAATTAAAACATAAATATATACTTTTTTAGTTCAGCTCAAACCAAACACAACAGGATATTGAAAAATAATATACATTTATCACTCAGTTACTATCGCTGTAAAACTTATTACAACAAAACTTAGTGGCTTAAAGCATAAGCTTAATTTTTTTCTCGTTTTGTGGATCAGAATTTCAGGAAGGGCTTAACTGGGCAATACCCATTTGTCTCCCCTGTGGTTAGAGCTGAAGTGCAACCTAGGGTTGCGGTCACCTGAAATCCCAACTGTATTGGCCATACAAGATGACTTACATATATGGTTGGCCATTGATGCTGACCGTCACCAGGAACATTGCTGAAACTGTCAATTGGAAGACCTCCACATGGCCTCTCTTACAAAGTAAGCTCAGTGTGCTTGACCTTCTCATATCATAGTTCAGGAATTCAAATACTAGTGTCCCTGCTGCAAAGGCAGAAGCTACATGCCATTTTATGACCTACGCTTGGAAGTTTTAAAATGCCAGTTCTGCTGTTACTTACTTGTCAAAGTAATTCCAAGCCTTCCATATTCAAGCATTGGGGCATAGACTTCGCATTTTGATGATAGTAGGGACAAAGTGGTTGTATTTTTTTAAGCCTCCACACATGCTTAAGAGGAATTAATCTGAGGAAGGTAAGAGTGGTTTACCTTAGAGCTTTATAAGATAAAATAAATTATTTTCTCAGGAGAGATAAAAGAGATATTTGATAACATTTAACACCTATTATTGAGTAAAATTTTTAAAAGTAAGATAGTTGGAATCTTCTGCAAATACTATTATCTGCCTGGTACAAAGACCAACCTGAATGGTAAAATAATTATTTAACAAATATTTATTGAGTATCTATTATGGGAAATACATTTTTCTTTTCATTGACAGTAGATCAGTAAATAAATAATAACTCTTCTTACATGGAAATTACTATAACAGGAGACAAAAAAAGAGTATTATATCTGAACTTAACACTTCATGCTTGGGAAACTCTTAGTCATTCTTCCAGATGCAGCCCAGTCATCAATTTCTGCATTAGGGGCTGGCGAACTAAGACTTGCTGGCAAAATCCATCTCATTGTCTTGTTTTTGTAAATAGTGTCTTATTGGAACACAATCATTCTTTTTTTTTAACTATTGTTTCTGGCTGCTTTGATGCTACACTGACAGTCAAGTAGTTGTGACAAACTATACGGTCTACAAATGAAAAATATTTACTACTTTGTTCTTTAAAAAAAAAGGTTGCCAACAAATTTCTATAGAAAGATTTCTTGAATTTGCAAAGCAGACTATTTCATTAGATAAAGAATACACTTGAAATATGACTATAATAGGTTATTTTATATTCTATTAAGTATGTTTATCATAATACATGTGAGGGTAAGGACTGGGATTAATAACCTTTGAATATCCAGCTACTTATTCAGTGTTAGATATTCAGTGTCAGTTATATTCCATTACAAAGTTTATAACTGCATGAATAAATGAACGAGATCTGTACCCACTCTTCCTCAATACTCTTTCTCTCCTCAATACTCTATTCCTGCAACTTCAATTAATTATCCCATGAAGATTGATCCTCAATTTAAAGGTGCCCTTTATTTCTTTTCAACACCTGGAGGGGAAACTCCAACCAGATATGTTGCTGGTTATTCAATTCAATATATTCCTACCAAGATATATTATTTTCTTCCACTGAAAATATACTTCTTTTTGTATTCATTTTATATCAGTAGCATCACCATTATTCAAGTTAGTATTGGATAAGGATTAAGAATATTATCAGGAGAAACAAAGAGAAAGGAGATAAAGCTATCTTAATTTTACCCAGACTAGAAAACTAAATGTCAGCCCTGAACATATAAAATAATGGGTAAAAAGTAACCAGTTGGTCACCCATTTCTGCTAATTTTACCTCTGAAATATTTATTCATTTTATTTCTCATATTCATTCTCAATGTTTTTAATTGTATTCACTCCCAAGGACCAGAGACCTAAGTTTTTCTGACATAAGTATAATTGTAATTGTCTTGTCTCTTAATTGTCTTCATCCATCCAATTATTTTATTCATTACCTCACCTGTTAAATTAAATAAGCAGGAGGCCATTGGCCTAAGACTGTCTCCATACTTCGAGTTCTTACATAATAAACTACAGTCTTACTTAGTACATAGACAAACTGAACCTAACTAGGGGCATATTTTTAAATTACAGACAGCCAGTTCTCACTCAATCATAAGCAGTCGAACTTCAGCCAATCACAGGCTTCCAAATGATTAGGCCATGTCCAAATAGGACAAACACTTAGCTGCAACCAATAAAGCTATTTCTGTACATTATTTCAGTGCTCTGTCTATAAATATTCACTGTCCACTAGGAGACCTCTCTGAACCTCTTCTGATTTGAGTGCTGCTTGACTCATGAATTGCTCAAATAAACTTTTAAGTTAAATTTGTCTAAAGTTTCTCTTTGAACACAACTAATGCATCTGCACTAAAGTTACAATGAAAAAGACATCATGCTGGGGACTGAGTATAGGACAGTGACTAAGAGAGTTCCGGATTTTTAAGGCATCTATTTGTAGCAAAAATAAAAACAAAGCTTAAAAAGTTAGAAAGTATATAGGTTTCTACCCTCCACAATGTAACCAGAGTTACACACACAGAGACACGCACATACACACACACATTGAGAACTCACTCTCCTCCGATCAAAATCCTCCAATAATTCCCCTTTCTGGCATGCAATATCAATTCTTTTTACATGTCTTTCAAGCTTGGCCCCTTTAAAAAATCAGTTTGTCATCTTTTTCAGCTAGTGCTTTTTTCTCTTTTGCATACCCTTTGCTTTAGGTATTTTCCAACATATGTGCTGTGCACTTTCACATCTCGGTAGCATTGCTCAAACCGTTTTTTCTACCAAAAGCCTTTCTTAAGCTTTTCCTTCCATTGCTACTGCTAATGGCAATCATCAATCTCTCTCCCACTCAGCCTTTTGTATGGAAAAATATTTGTATAAATCTATGTGACATTTATATTAACCTTGTATTACACGTTATCTACGTGTATGTTTTTTCATGTTTTTCCTTTAGTAGAATCCTATTTAAATTTTCCTAATTTAAAATTCTTAATTATGTTAACATTTCCTATGTAGCACTGTAGCACAATGTGAGTTTAGCATACAATGGTGGCTTTTTAAAAAATCCCATCACCAAGTTCTTTTTTATTTTGGAAGATTATGAAAAATAAACTCTCAGCAGAGTCTAATTTCTAAAGCAGTTTAGCAGACTTTGAACCAAATGAAATAAAATTGTTGGAAACAAAGCTATGTATTTGTTGTTCAGACTTCAGGATTTTTACAAAAATATATTTACATATTTTATTCATGTCAATATTTGCCCCGAAAACTCGGAAATAAAAACATTTACACATGAAAAATCTCAAGGAGTTTCTGCAAAGCAGTGTGTGAAAGCAGGCTAAAGGAAAAGGCAACTCACTGTAATTTGTTGATTAAGAAGTAAAAACACACTGAGAAGGAAAATAAATATGTACTCAGCAAAACCTAATTGATTCTCTTGAGCGCGAAACTCCAGGAGTCAGAAATGAAGGTAGCACTGAAAGAGTGGAGTGAAGGGGTGAGTACTCTCAATTATGTCTGCATAGTACAAAATAAACAAAATGATAAAATATTGATGGAGTGGATGGAGGTCTCTCCATTCAATCCCTTTTGAACAACACGATATTGATAATTAATGGGGGAAAACAAACATTTTTCTCCCTGCTGTCTTCCAGTGCTGGTGTTTCTGAAAATAATAGAAAGAAGGTCTTGCCCCAAGAACAATAAGAATGAAGCTTTTGTCTCAAGGTACAACTCTCTGTCAAGGTTTCTTCTATGAGATAGTTTATGTCAGCATATTCCCAACGTGTTTTGGCATTGTAGTTTTGGAATAAAATAAATGTATGCTTTTCCTTAACCTTAAGATAAGAAAGTTAAACAGACATGCTCATCGCTTCTTAGAGAACTCACATAATTTTAACGAATAAGTAACATATCACTTCCTCTACAAGAATGAAATAACCAAGAATCTAGATACCTGATATTGTTAAATTGAGGCTTAAAATAGTCAGGAAAAAAGAAATTCCAATGACAATATTCGCTAAAATTAAAAGAAAATTGTAACAAAAACAAAACATTAAAAATTTCCTATCTATCTTAATACAAGCTGAGAGTTATTAAAATTTGAAACTAGAAAAGACCATCATAAAAAGGGAAAAAGGAATCCTGAAAACTTTCTTTGATAAGAAAACAATCAATCAAAGAATTAAAACATACCCAGTAAATCCAAAGTTTATTTAAAAAGTATTAAAAATGGCCGGGCGCGGTCGCTCACACCTGTAATCCTAGCATTTTGAGGTCGGGGCGGGCGGATCACAAGGTCAAGAGATCGAGATCATCCTGGCCAACATGGTGAAACCCTGTCTCTACTAAAAATACAACAATTAGCCGGGTATGGTGGCGGGCGCCTGTCGTCCCAGCTACTCGGGAGGCTGAGGCAGGAGAATGGCGTGAACCCGGGAGGCAGAGGTTGCAGGGAGCCAAGATCACGCCACTGCACTCCAGCCTGGTGACAGAACAAGACTCCATCTAAAAAAAAAAAAGTATTAAAAACAAAACAGAAAGTTTACTTCTAATAATAGCAGATATATAATTGGATCAAATTTTCTAGGGAAAAATTAGATTATATAAAACATAAAGCATAACCTCAAAAATACTTATACTTCAAAAACGCTGACAATGTGAAGAGAATTACTGTGGAAAGATCAGCAAGAGGACATAATCGATTGGTGTTTCATTCTTGAGGGACTTTGTCATTTGAAACAGGTTCCTGGGAGGATAAACTGTGCTCTTGATGTTCTCCCATGGCATCCCTTCATAACCCCCCAAAATCAATTGCAAGTTAATTGTAAGGGTAGACATTAAAGATGAAACAATATGGTTTCCAGGCAGTAACATGAGAAACTATCTCACTCCCTTAAGTAGGCAAAAATTTCCCTCACAGAATTAAAAAGCACGTATCATTAAGGAAAAGGTGGATAAACTTGTATGACGGTAATATTAAGACTTTCTGTTCACCAAATGGGACTATTAAATAGAGAGGGAAAAGGCAAATCAAGGAAAAAAAATATTTTCAAGCAATCCACGAGCACAATGTTCAAAAGGCAAGAATATCTCACAAAAGAGAATTTACAAACAGTGAATTAATATTGGAAAAGTTACTCAGTATCTGCAATCATTAAGGAAATGTGATTTAAAATCACAAAAAAATTAATATTCATCTATCGGAATGACTAAAATTAAATAGCCCAGAATTATCAAGTGATGTTAAATTTATGGAAAAATCAATAATTTCCTAGTTATAATGGGATGCAAATTGGTACAAATATTTTGGATAAATGTTGGTAGTTACCTATTGACATTGAGCTTATGTAAATTCTAACATCTATTATTTCTCTCCTTAATATTTATTCAACAAATTTTGTGGCCCCAAAGACATGTACAAAAGAGGTCAAGCAGTAGTATTCAAAATAGTTCCAAATTGAAATCACCCAATTCAGTAAAATAAAGTTGGAAATCTATTTGGTAAAGTCCTACAGTGGAACACTATATAGTAATGAAAATGAATTAACTATGACTACTTGCAACAGGAAAAAAAAATCCCAAAATGTGTTATTAAGCAACAGAAGCAAGATATAAAAAATTATGCAGTGTGATTTTACTTATGTCAGGGTTAAAAATAAACAAAACTATAACATAAAGTTAAAAATTAAAAGTGTTTATCTTAGGCAGGAGGATGGGGAGTAATAAATTTATTGATCTAGAGAGTAGCTACCTCAGTATGTTCACTATGTGATAATTCATTCATCTAGACTCCATAATGTATGGATTTTTTTATTTTGACTATTCTAAGTTAATAAAACAGTTTAAAAAATCTGGAGATGCATGCTTGCATTTCACCGTCTTATAACACTGAAAAATTGGAAACAGTAAATGCTTATTAATAGACGCTTTGCAAGATTAATATGGCATATCAATACAACATGATAAGCAAATTATCACATGATATATTGAAGGCATAATATGAAAAAATAATAAATGAAAGTGAAATATTTAAAACAGTGTATACAATATATACCTATATATAAATACATTCATACGTTTCCTACATAATATTCTCCCTATCATTACCAATTTAGTCCAAATCTATTTCTACCTAAAATATATCTTCAATTTAATTACATACACACATATATATATATAAAATTTATAGTGCAATATTGTTTGTATCATGCTGTGAGTGCTGTCATGCACTATTAACTAAAGAGAATCAGCCTGGTACTTTCCACTGTATGTTCTCATTCATTGAATGATATTAACTCTGCATACTGGAATTGCTCTCGGCCAGTGAATAAATACTCTAGAGTGCTCTCTTGATTTCACTATGAAATGTATCTTATGTCTTTCATTTCTCTATTAACTCTCTTTCTGTCTTAGTTTTCATTTGGTGGAATATTTTGGACTCATAGTGCCTCACAAAATGTTGAGACGTGATAATTTTGTATCTCCTCCAAAAAAAGAAAGGAGTATTAGAAATATAAAAGACATTTTAATGTTGCACAATGCTTCTTTTAAAAAAATGGTTGCAGAAACAGGTAAAAGTCCAGCAGAAAATTTTGAATTGTTGGAAATACATCACAATTCTGAAAAACACATATAAAGATCAGTACTGCCTGGAATAACAGAATCTCAACTGTGTCATGCTGACTGAATAATGGGGAGGGAATTACGTTGCATCTTATTGGAAGCCATCTCTGTGGGAACTAGGCTAAAACAGTATTGTTCGGGAAATAATAGTATTTCTAACAACCAATCCAATGGCCCAACATAAACAGCATATAATTGAAATATACATATCAACAAATGCACATATTAATGGGGATTATCTCAAGAGAATGAAATTATAGTTGATTATATTTATTGCTATGCTTTGTATATTATCTTCACCCAAAAACATGGTGACATTATTGAAGCTAACAAACAAAACATTAGTTTTCTCCCCAGTTTGTCCCACCATTGCAATTATACTTTTCATATTTAGTTAAATGTTAAAAGTAGAATTGTGATTTTGAAACCTAACATTTTGAATTGGGTTTTCCTAATATAACTTCCACATTACTATTTGTTAAAAAGAACTATACATTTAAAATATTTACTTTAATTAAACTCAATTCTGAGTCACAACTAAAATCTACTATTTTATCATAAATATTATTTACATGCATATTTTATATTCTTCTCTATTGACATTATAATTTTTAAAATGTATTGCCATGCTTGAAAGTTTACTTGTTCAAATGCACTCTATCTTATTACTCTATAATGTCATTCAGAGTACTGTTTCAGGGTGCTAAATAAAATTTCATTATTGATTAGAATACATATTTAAAGGTCAGCTTTAGCTAAGCATTTAAAATCTTGATTACATTATACTTGTTAAAGTTTCTGCACACTTTTGAAATTCATAATAATTATATTTAAACAATATTTTAACAGGAAAAAGTATGGTTTTGTTGCAAACTGTGATATTATTCAGTCAAAATAGGCATTTCTAAACTCAGGCATTTAAAGGTTCCCATACGTTTTAAAAGAGAACAAAAGTTAATCTTATAATGGTTTTAAATGAATTAAGTGTTGTATATGTTTTATTTTCTTTAGTGATAAAGATATATATAACTTTAATATTTATATAATTATGAAACCTTTCAGATATTGACATTTTTTAAAACTAAAATATAGATTAGATGTTTGTTCTTTATTTAAGACTTCACAAACATTCATTTTATTATCTTAATTTTCCAAAAAGGAAAGTTCTCAATTATACAATTTTTGTAATTTATTGGTTTCTAAACTTACTAAAATTATTCTCATAAAGATGGCTTATTGCTGGTTACTTGGTTTTAGTCATTTTTAAAATACAATTTGTTATGTAATGTTTTCCAAAGTAATGTCTGATTAGATTTTATCTTATATGTAGACACCATTAATTTGTAAATGGAGATTTATATTTCTGACACCGTATTCCAATAACACATTTTTAAATATTTCTAGTACATAGTATAATATTAAATAGCATAAATATTCCTACAGACTGTTCAGTTCTTACATTAAATGACTCCATGAACAATTTTATATAGCCTGGTTCCTGATTCAAGAGACATAATCAGGTGTTTGTTGATAAGCAATTGCCCTGAGTATCCCATCAATCTGTGATAATAATACTGAAGAATTACATGGTTAATTGTTTTCATGTGTCTGGATGTTTATTTCATGGTGTCAAGGTTCTATATTGGACTGCAACTATTTACTTTTTCAGTTTGTTTTGAGATTAATCATTGTGCCAGTATTATTTTAATAACAATATACAATTAGTTCTACTAAATTATTTTACATACACTATACACTCATTGCAATCTGTGACATAAATTGTTTTTTGAATTACTAACTCAATCCATACCCAGTATTATCAAAGGACATGGCAATATTACATATTAACAAATAATTTCAGCATTTCTGTAAATTCAAACTCTTTTGAGAAAGAAAGAAATTCTGAGTGCACTGCATGAACTGGTTGAATTCAGTTTTACATGTTTTAAATCATCTCTAACATCAATCTGTGAAAAGAAATGAAATTAATAAAACCCCAGGCAATAGATGTCCATAATAAAATAATCAAATAAATTATATTCGGAAAGGTTGGTGGATCACCCTTATTAGAACATGCTCAGGAATATAGCAAAGGGAATACAGTTTCATTAATCAGTGATACTTTTGTCGTGTTCTAATAGCAGTCCCTCCTAGAAGTGAAAAATTGAACTAGAGTGTTTCTTGAATTGCTAAAACTTGTGTAATTATTGTTATTCTATCAACTATTTATGGCTTGGTTTGTGGAATAAAGGCTGAAGTTCTCTCTTTTCCAAATAAGTGATTTCTAGGCTCTGTGTACAATCTTCTAACTCAGATGATACATCCTCCAAAAAAGTTCACTGTAAATTTCTTTACAGTGGGCTTCATATTATTCTCTTTAGATATTCTCCATTTGTACATAATAGAATATCAAAATATTGTCAAAGTAGTGAACATGAATCATGAAAAAAGAGAATCAATAGACTTATTGGTAGAATATTGTAATGAATTTGGTTTAAATATAAACTTCACATGAAAATATTTTTGTCAAGAGTTATCAGGTCATGAATGTACGAGGTACTATTACCAGGAATAACAATCAGGTAATATATTCCTTTAGAATAGAGATAAATGTCCATGGAGATTTTTGGCCTAAATATCACCATTTACCTTACACATGTTTTTGCAAATATAAAATAAAATCACTATAATTTAATGAATTAAATTTTCAAAGAAGCAATGTTTAACTGGAAAATTAACATAAGAGATCATATTAGTTCTTAACTCATATGTTCTTTGTTAAGTTTAAATGTGTAGGTAGGTAATATCTACTAATATCTATGTGGATATTTTAAATGTGTAAAATACTATGAGGCCTGGAAAGTAACAAATGCTGCATCCCCTGCCTATGGATATTTCTCTTATTCATTAGAATGTAAACTTCAAAGAGTCAGGAATTTTTGTCTTTTTCTTAAAGGCTATATCTTTAGTACGCAGAGAAACGCCTCGTAAATAGTTATTGTTCAGTAAATACTTTGTGAAGGAACAACTGAAAAGCATAAGAAGTTGCAGTGGAGGCTGTGGTAGTCATCGGGATTCTTCCTTCCAAACTTTACAGCTCATTGACCCAGCTGCTAGGAGTGTTCGTGGTTAAATGCTTTCAGGAATTGCCTCGAAAAGAAAAAATTTACCTCCACCATTGATATGGACAGGAAGCAGGGAAATACTGGGTAGAAGAGGGTAGCCCCTGGTGAGGTCCCACCCTCAAGCCTCTACCCCGCGGCCCAAAGTGAGAACATGCATTCCTGTTTTCCCGCTCACATGTTGCCTTTTCCAAAAACCACCCTGGCCCTCCTTGCCCCCCACCCCGTACCCATAAAAACCCCAGGCTCCACTGGCAGTGGAGTGGCAGAGAAGAAGACAAGAGAAGAAGCAGCTTGACATGGGCGAAAAGCAGCTTGACTACTGAGGGATGGTTTGATTGTGGGAGACCATCTTCCTGCTCCATCCTTTCCAGCTCTCCATCCCACTGAGCGCCACTTTTCATTGGCAATAAAATCCCCTGCATTTACCATCCTCAATTTGTCTGTGCGACCTGATTCTTCCTGGGTGCCCAGTAAGAGCTCAGGATACAGACAGAGGGCTGTCACACTGCACTGTTGAACAAGTCGTCTGCGGATGGTAAAGATAAAAGAGCGCACTGTAACACACGCCTTCTGGGACTCTGGGAGTCGCGGGTACCCCCCTAGATGCTGCTCTGGGGCCTCACAGAGTTCTGCTCCTGCCAGAGCCCAGAAGCACTTATCCCGGCCCCTGCACCCACTCACCTGCGTGCTTCCCCTCCCTCGAAGGGTTGAGAGCTGCCGGCTGAGTAAACAAGTCACCCCCTCCACAATTCCTGTGAAGGGGTCAGGGAAAATTTCCTGTTTCACCATGGTCCCTAACCAGAAGCATTCCACAATGACTGGTCAATGCCAAGTTATGTATAGACCGGGCCCTCTTGCACTAAAGAAGGACAGTGATGAAGGACCATTGCAGCATCAAAATCTAGGCAGAATTGTAAGATTTGCTACTGCCTTTGTTAGAACCGCACTTTGTTTCAATTTCTCATTCTGCCTAATCTAATTTCTTTCACATCCTTTTGTTAGGAATAACGCTCAAAATTTTAAGGAAATTGAATATTTAAACAAAGGATTTTTAGTAAAGTAATTTTATTTTTGTGCAGGGGGTGCTTCTTTGTCCAGTTGCCATGAGAGCACACTTGAACAAAGGGGCACGAGAGCCTTTATTTTTGACTCAAGTCTTGTCTCTGTATTCTTTTTTTTTTTAATTGGTCAGGGTCAGGTTGTAGAATTGAAACTAATTTTGGTTGGCTAAACATTTGATATTTTTTAGACAGGATGGGCACGTAAAAGAAAGTGGAGGGAAAGGGGAAGTGGTGTCTGCAATGAGCCAAAAATTAGTTTTTTAAAAAAATAAGGAAAGGAATGTGAGCTGGTATTGATAACACTTGGTATTGTGGTGTGCCTGGGCATTTAACAAAGGCAAGAAGGAAAAAAGGAGAAAAAAAGGTGAAAAATGGGGGAGGGGGTACTATGAATTAAAGAATAAAAGATTTATCAGATTATTTGAAGAGAAACCTCATCATATCCCACACTTTTAATGGTGTTAATCTCTAAAACATTCCCAAGTAGTCTTCCTACACTCAAATCTCTGTTATGGAGTCTGTTTCCTGGGGAACCAATGGAAACTAGAAGTTTCAAAAAGTCTACACTCATAAATGTGCCCTTCCATTTCCTTTATAATTAATATTTTACACACGTAGCATCTATATATACTATATATGTTCATGTGTGTGATCATGTGTTAAAATCTAATGCAACCTTAATTATTTGGTATTACAAATATTGAAAAATATGGTATGAGAGGAAAAATAAAAATCTAGGAAGGCTTGAAACTATTTTCTATTATTAATTGATTCCAAATAGCAGTCAAATAGTTGAAATGAGGTAGGCTAAGATTAGCAAGTGTTCCTTCTTCCTTATTCCAAGGAAACCATTTTAAGGAATATATATCTAAATTCAAATCTAGCGATAGATTAAAAGAATTAAGTATAAAATCAAATGTAGTATATTAAAGGGATAACACATTCATGTAGCTTAGAAAGTCAGATTGTGTGGTCGTATCATATCGACAGGTCAAAATAAAAATATCACATTGTCAACTTGATAATAATTTGTTAAATTACAATATCTGTTAAGATAAAAAAATTGATTACTTTGTGCACAGAAAACTTTCTAAATACATTAAAGGATATCTATTTTAATTCAAATACTAACATCGAGTCTATCAAGAAAAAATTAGAATTTTCAAAAGTCATGGATGAGCTAACTTTACTATATATGTTATTATGTAACATTGTTTTGGAAATTATTTTATATATTTTTAATAAAGAAATAAGACATACATTTTGAAAAAAGATAAATGCACCATTTTCAGTTGATATAATCATTTAATTGAAATACTTAAGACTATAAGAAACTGAAATCTATTTATTGATTCTAGTATCGTGACTAGAAAAAGATAGTCTATTAGTTGCTATCACTCCTTTGGAAAATAATATCAGAAGACAAAAAATGAAATTTTTCTATCCTATATCATTTAACAAAATAAATTTGAGAAAGATTTATTGTTTTGATAAAGATACAAAAAGAAAAGAAAATATAATATAATTATATATTTGAGGGTGGTTGTTAAGAGTAGACATTTTGCAATTCAATTTCCTTGGCTTGTTTACTGGGATCCATGGAATAAGTCATTTAATTCTTTGAAACCTCATTACTCGTCAATACAATTGGTAATATTAAATTGTACCTCGTACATAGAGTTATCTGAGTAAATTCTGGCTAATACTAAATAATAGAAACAATTAGCTGAAACATTTAAAACCCATCTCATTATTGTTATATTTGTATAAGCCTTTTTTCATTTTTTTCTTTAGACAAGCCATCAGAATTATCCCAATCCTTTTACAATTAACATGGATTCACTGAACCTATACACACATTCACAAAAACCACTGATTTTCATGGCTATGAGATCTCTGCTAATGGATGCTATTTTTTTTTTATTCCACAGAAAACATAGAGGGCGCAGTAGGAGCACTACATATGCTTATCACATAAATTAAGAATGTAGAATAAAGAAATAGTATTATACTATTAAACATTGTTCTGATATCATCAAGAATTTAGAAGTTTTAGTTCTACAGTTTTCAAATATTTAGGTATAGGTAGTTGGAAAAAAAAATAGGTTTCTCTAAGCAGTTTTAGGCTCAAGGTAATGCAGCTTTTACAGTTAGCTTATTTACCTGACTTCAAGCGAAGATATAAGTTCAAACAAATGCTTTGCACCTGCACAGAAGAAAAGGCCAAAAACAAAACCTAAATATCATGGCAAAAGGGACAAGGGCTGTGTAGGGCAATCCTAACTCCTGGGCTCTCCATGTGCTACAGAATAGATTAAATGCTTCAAAAGAAAGAATATGTTTTGGCAGCAGTGCTAGATCTATATCCCCACGGCAAAATTGAAGACATAGTTGCATTCAATACAGACATAGATCTTCAGAAAGATATTTTCATAAGCAAGCTTTGCAGGCATTCAGCTGTGCGTGCCAAGAATATCTCATGAAACAGAGTGCAGGTCTGGAATGAACACACTGGAGTATAGAGGAGACTGTTGAAACAGTAACTGCTTCAGTGACACCCAAAGCAGCAGGAGATGACAACAATGGTAGTATCAGCAGCAAAAAGGGCTATTTTTTCCATTTATAAATGCAATTGAACATATGGCTAGCTTAATTAGGACTTTTCTCATTAACTCAGAATAGGCAGTCTCTATTGAAGCACCCTCGATAGAAAATCTGCATGAATAACGATCTATAGGTTTGCAAAAAGCCCATTTAATAAGTTGGAAACCAAGAAGTCAGCTATGAGCATCTGTGCAACATTTGCTTATTTTTACCATATTTAGTCGCTTTCTGCTGTGTACCAAAAGAACTTGAATCAAAACTCCCATTGATAAGAATGGTTCATTTAATGCCACCTTAGTAGAATCTGCCTGTAGTTAGAAGTTAAAGCACCATTAAAACACAAGAAAATATTAACAGAGCTCTATGCAAAGAAAGTATACATTTGTATCTTGTCATTATGTTAATGTTGCATGTGAAACGTGAAAAATAAATTTGGAATTTTTCAAGGAGAAAAATTAATGCTGCCAGAGAGTGTTCCCTTTCTCTCTTCACAGATAAATAAAATGAGTGAGTATGCGATTAGCATTTGAACTTCTTATGGTACAGATGCATGTTATAATGTCAGGATAATTCTTAGGAATAGGCCATTCCATTGTGTCTCTCTGTGCATCTAACATTTAGAATTTGGAATCAGGCAATGTTCATCATACATATGTTGATTGATGTTTCATGTCTCCCTAAAATGTATAAAACCAAGCTGTGCTCTGTCCGCTTTGGGCTCATGTCATCAGAGCCTCCTGAGGCTGTATCAAAGGCACGTGTCCTCAACCTTGGCAAAATAAACTTACTAAATTAACTGAGACCTGTCTCTCAGATCTTTAGGATTCACAGGAATCCTGATTTTAATCATGTTATAAAAGAAAATGAAAATGTAAGTCGGCTCAATTCTTTAGTTGCAAAATTTGTACTTTGATTTCCAAAATCAAACATTTTAAGAGAAGGAAAAAGTAAATTTGGCATGTCAAGAAGATCTATGAAAATATAAGGATACTCCTGCAAATGAATTTCCATCTGTTTGGCTGTGGTCTGCTTCCAATCCACCTGTATCTCCTTTTGATTCTAGTCAGATATAATTGTTCTCAGGGAGAAAGCCTTGTTTTCTTTCTACTGAGTCTTTTTCTTTTCTTTTCTTTTTTTGAGGGAATGAACTCCAGACAAAGGGAAATTCTAAGTCACACATGAGACTGCTAAACTGAGTCACACATAAGACTGCTAAACTGACGAGCAGTTAAGAACTCAGGTTAAAACAAATTTCAAGAACAGAGATTCTGAGTTTAGATAGCAGGGAAAAAAAGAGAGATTGAGTAGATGATGATATCCCAAGCTAGGCAGAGAGCTGTTCAGATTCAGGACAAAAAGCGGCAGCACACGGGCGCGGTGGCTCACGCCTGTAATCACAGCACTTTCGGAGGCCGAGGCGGGCGGATCACGAGCTCAGGAGATCAAGACCATCCTGGAGAACACGGTGAAACCCCGTCTCTACTAAAAACACACACACAAAAATTAGCCGGGCTTGGTGGGGGGCGCCTGTAGCCCCACGTACTCGGGAGGCTGAGGCAGGAGAATGGCATGAACCCGGGGGGCGGAGCTTGCCGGGAGCCTAGATCGCGCCACTGCACTTCAGCCTGGGAGACAGCGAGACTCCGTCTCAAAAAAAAAAAAAAAGGGGGGGGGGGGCTGCAACACAGAGTTTATGGCTCAAAGAAAAAAAAAAAAGTACTATGAGGATGAAGATCATTAACAAGGAGGAGAAGACCTCAAGTTTCAGATACCCAGATGTTACTAGAATGGTCTTCCCTTCATTGTTATTTATTTTTCATCAGCCTATAAAACTTGTGAATATTTTCTTTTTGAATGTTTAATATAATCTATGCTTTTTTTTTAACCTTCAGAAATTATCCTCTTCTACTACACCCTGATGTCCTGCTGTCTTTTCTCTACGAGCAATCCAATTGTTCTATGAACTATGGCAAAATTTTTACCTTACTTAACTATAGCTTCGATTAGTGAATAAGAAACATCCACAATTCATTTTTTCCACCTCCCAAAATAGTAATTTCACTTCCCATTTGTTTTGTTTTGTTTTGTTTTTTCTCTTTTTCTTTGTAGGTAGATTCTGGTTAATATATCATACCCTTGGGGTTTTGCTGAAAAGGTTTTTTTTACTTGTTTATTTTTATTTATTTTTCTGGGCAAATAGTAGGTGTATGTATTTATGGGGTACATGAGATATTTTGATACAGGCATAAAATGCATAATAATCACATTAGGATAAATGGGGTATTCATCAGCTTAACCATTTATCCTTTCTTTGTGATATTTTATATGTATATATATTCTTTCCTTTCTGATTTGTTACTAGACTTAGAGGGATAATGACAATGATTCCTAATTCCCTTGAGCCCTATCCCAGCATATTTGTTAAACATTGATAACATATTGACCAGTAAACTATTCCCCTGCAGCCTCACTTCTGATATTCTTAATCTCTGAATTCTGATACCTCTTAAAAATATGTAATGATATTGGTCATGTTTCTTTTTATTCAACTTGGTTCTTTTGATTATTTTTGTCATTATCACTAGAAACAATTTCCATCCAAGAATAACTGTGATATATTGGGTTGTGACATTTTAGCTTAACAGTACCAGACAGTATTTTCAAAGCTAAAATCTATAGACTTGATGCCAGAAAGAATTAACAATATAGCTCAATATTATCCTTTATAGGAAGAAAGCCAAAAAGTTGTGTGGCTTGCCAAAACTCTGCAACCTTGTTTTGTGTGCACTGACTTTCAGTGTTATTTGTTTTATTTTGCAAGGAAAAATAATCACAAACTCACTATTTATGTAAACATATTGTCCCTTGAAAATAAGATGGAGAATTAAGAGAAAAAAAGAGATCCTAGAATGGAGTCTTGTACTGTATATCATCTTTTATATTACTTAAATACAGTTTTCCAAATATTGTAATTTCTGCAAGAGGTTTAGAAAAAATTGGGCACACAAATGAATCCACTATGTCAAGATACATCATTAAAGATGAAACCATTATTTTCTCCAACCAGCTTATATGGCTTGTCAGAGCTCTTTGTCCACATTTCTTCTAAAGTCCATGTTCAGTAACAACATTTGATATATTGGAATTGGCTATTGTGGGAGAATTGCTACTCCAAAGAATTAGCAAATGCTATATTATGTCTTTTAAAATTTATTTGTTTTTTCCTGCAGAGCTACTTTACTCTGTCACAGATGTTTACAAAAAAATATATAAACGTAGAATCATGGGATATTATTAAATCTCATGTGTAAAACCTTGTATTCAAAATGTTCTTCTTACATATCTTAAGAAAGTGTATGAATTAATAGAAATATCAAATCATAAGTGTGGATATCAATTAGTGCTGGACACTTCTTATTCTAGCAATTTCTACCAAGATTATTGCTGAATAATAAATATAATAAAAAATTAGATGGACTAGTCCCCTGTAGCAGTTTTGTTCTCTACTTAAATAAATAATATAACCAAAACAAGATTTGAAAAAGTTTTATTCTTTCACATTTTTATTCTTTTAAAATATTTCAGTTTGATTTGGAAGATAATATCATTTCCAGTGATCATTTATTGCCTTGATACAGGAGTTAAGAAACTACTTAGGCAGATAGTAAGGGTACAGGATCCCTTGGTAAGGTTTCCTTTTAATGAAAAGCACCCCCCAAATAATTTCCTTTGCTAACAAACAGCAGATGGTAAAATCGAACTGCAGACATGACAATTAAGTTAGAAGCTTGCACAGGCAAATGCCAACAGTTGTGCCTATAGGCTACTTGTGACTAGGCATGATCAAAATGGCAGCTCCGTCTTCCATTCTCTTTGCCAGCCACATGTACAGTAAGGAGCAGACGAGATGGCACTAGCCAAGTAGAAAGCCCATTTGCATAATAAGATTAGGGTGGGGCGACCAGCCTTCCCTGCTCGCTATGTAAATGTCATACCTGGTGGAACCAAGCTGTGGGCTCTATGTAAATCACACACCACCTCCTCAAGCCTGCCTATAAAACCTGCTGTGGTCCTTTGCAGGCCGACTGTTTTCTTTTTGGATGCCTCTCTCTCACAAGAGAGAGAGCTGCTCTACTCTATCCTTTATTCTGCCTATTAAGCTTTCCACTCCTTAACGCACCCACATGTGTCCCTTTTGTTACTCTTCTCTATGCCAGACGACGAATCCCAGGTATTTACCCCAGACAACGATGTTGCTTCAGCAGTACATTTTTAAAAATCTTGAGCAGCATATTATATGCTTTTTTTTTTTAAGATGATTCTCGGGTACATAAGAACTCTTTAGTTACAACTTGTAAGTACCACTTAGCATCCTAACTCAATGTTTTAATAAATGCCTTGTTAAAAAGTCTAATAGTTTCATATTCTTTCATCTGTGGCCTGTATATGAATTTATAATTATATATTTACAAAATTATTAGTCCACATTTTTCTCTCAAAGGGTGGGGCTGATTCTGTTTTGCTTATTATTGTATTTCAGGAACTGACCTATGCCTAACAAAAAATATTTTTTATATGAGTAAATGAACAAAAGAAAAAGTAAAGTAACTTTGTAATAGCTTTTGAAAATTTTCTCGAGTAATTTTCCCCCAGTTGAATACCTTGATGATCCCCAAGTTGACCTCTGCTTTGTAGTCTTTATATCTTTAATCATGTTATTTCCTCTATTTGGAATGGGTACCCTATACCTAGATTACCTCGTGAATGGCATTCATTTTTTAATGTTAGTTATTTAACTCTTCCTTGATGAAGCAAATCAAAGCAAAATTCACCCCTCTATCATTTGTTTTGTTAGATCTCATTGCAAAAACTTAAGAATAATAAATAAATTCTAAATTTTGGTAAGAAAGTGTTCAATGACACAAAAAATGGAATTATTTATAGTGATTGAGGGATTTAGTTTTTTTACTTGTGTCTTTGCCTATTTTAATTAACAGCTTAAAAACCGGATTTAGTTACCATGTCTTTCTATTTTCTAGCCTGTTTTTCTAGTGTTTTAGCTGTTTTAATTATTGCTGATCATTGATCTGAAGCAAAGAAGCAATTTTCTTGGAAAAGTACTAATTACCAGCTAAGTGCTTGGTATTTAGGGCATAGAAAGCAAAGAAGAGCAAGACTTAAGATTCTAATAAAGAGTGCTTAAATTTGTATGCATTTCCACTTTCAATGTCCAAATACCAGGTTTTTTTTCATGAGACTCTGTATTTACTTTAAATATTCTATTAAAAAAAAGAGTATTACAGTATATTACTACCGAGACATATTTTTAGATGTTAGAACTACACAGAATACGTGGAACATTTAATTTTCACTCTATTATTGATTAATATAGGCATCACTATTTAGAAGTAAAAATGTAAAAGACCTTAAATTATTTTAGTCTAATATTATTGAATACTTGCAAACTTTATTACTTTATTGTAAGCAATATAAATAAAACCACACAATCTAGAAAAAGACTAGTTTTCGTTGAATTCTCATTCAGAATATATGAAAGGAGTGTCATGTGTGTCCGTATAGAAGACCACCTAAACAGGTTTAGTGTGAGCAACAAGGCTGTTTATTCACTTGGGTGCAAGTTGGCTGAGTCTGAAAAGAGAGTCAGCGAAGGGAGATAGCGAGGGGCAGTTTTATAGGGCTTGGGTAGGCAGTGGAAAGTTACAGTTAAAGGTGGTTATCTATTGTTAGCAGGGGAGGGGGTCACAAGGTGCATGGTGGAGCGATGATGGGAGTCATTGTCCAGGAGAAGAATGTCACAGGGTCGATTGATCAGTTGGGGCAGGGCAGGAACAAGTCATAATGGTAGAATGCCCTAAGGTGGGTTAATTAGTTAAAGCAGGAACTGGCTGTTTCATTTCTTTGTGGTTTTTCGATGGCTCCAGACTTCTTGGCTCCTGCAGTCCATCTTGGCTCCTGCAGGCCAACTGGACGTATATATGCAGGTCACAGGGGTTACAATGGCTGAGCTTCGGCTCAGAGGTCTGACAAGGAGATAATATGCATATGCTGGTTTTTAGATGTTTATAAAATAAAAATATGTATATATATATTTAAAAAGCATAGGTCACTTGAGTAGTCATTTAACTGTAAACAAAATAATTTTTAAATTTACTAGTTAGTGTGTTCTATTATTATTCTTGGTATTTGCTATTATTTTAAAACTGATATTTCGATATTATGTGCTCAATTTCACCTGATTCTTTAGATAGACATTGCTGTCAGAGGCAGTTGAACCAGAGCAACATCATCTTGAATAGGGACTGGGAAAACAAGGCTAGATCTGCTGGGCTGCATTCCTAGACAGCTCGGCATTCTAAGTCACAGGATGAGACACGAGGTTAGTATAAGACACAGATCATAAAGACCTTGCTGACAAAACAGGCTGCAATAAAGAAGCCGGCTAAAATCCACCAAAAGGGTGGCAACAAGAGTGACCTCTGGTCATCCTCACCACTACACTCCTGCCAGAGCCATGACAGTTTACAAATGGCATGGCAACGTCAGAAAGTTACCCTGTATGGTCTAAAAGGTGAGGTATGAAGAATCCACCCCATGTTTAGCATATCATCAAGAAATAACCATAGAAATGGGCAAGCAGCAGCCCTATGGAGTAGTCATTCTTTATTCCCTTACTTTTTAAATAAACTTGTTTTCACTTTACGGACCTGCCCTGAATTCTTTCTTGTGTGAGATTCAAGAACCCGTTCTTGGGGTCTGGATCGGGACCCCTTTCCAGCATCATTACTATTTTTATTTCAAACTTTATCTATAATGTCTAACTAGTAAGTGATCCATACGCGGATTGGTAAAAAGAGTTTACTGACAACATTATAGGCTTGAAAAAAGGAAAGTTTTTTAGAAAGGAAGAACACTGCACGAGGGTTCGGGGAACCTCAGCCGGAGGATTAAGGTATGGTGGTGGATTTTCCTTACGAACATTTATGAATTTTCAGGCAGGAGGTTAGGGTTGTAAAATGAGTTTTGGCATGGCATTCCAGAGATGTATATAAATTTTAGCTACTTATAAAAGTTGAAAGAGGCCTGGAGCCGGGCGCCGTTGCTCACGCCTGTAATCCCAGCATTTTGTGAGGCCAAGGCAGGCAGATCACCTGAAGTTGGGAGTTCGAGACCAGCCTGACCAACATGGAGAAACACCGTCACTATTAAAAATACAAAATTAGCTGGGTGTGGTGGTGCATGCCTGTAATCCCAGCTACTCAGGAGGCTGAGGCAGGGGAATCACTTAAACCCAGGAGGCAGAAGTTGCTGTGAGCCAAGATCATGCCATTGTACTCCAGCCTGGACAGCAAGAGTGAAACTCAGTCTTAAAAAAAAAAAAAAAAAAAAAAAAAAGGCCTGGAATCAGATGCCCACTTGAGATACTGGGGAAGTTTAATTACTTCTAAAATTTCCAGATGAGGAGTTTAGCATTTGGATGGCCTGTTTGCTGGTGTTCTTTGCTCCCTTCTAAATTTCTCAGATAAGGGGTTTTTGTGTCCGGAGTTCGTTCAATGGTCACCAGGTGATTTTCACTTTTCCTCAGTATTAAAGCAAATTTTTTTCTTACCTCTTTAAGAGGCATCATGTTTGTATTCTACCATATTTCTAAAGCCTAATCAGCCAAAGAACACTAGACATAAGACTTACTTTGACAGGGTCAGATTTATTTATTTGATGTAACTAAGGTAGGTACTTTGTGGAACTATAGATTGCTGCCTCACAAGAGTGGGAGAGAAGTGTCTTTCATAAGGTATATGGGCTTGTGCTGATAAAGTCCAAACAGAGTCTAAGAGAAACAGACTAGACTGAATTCTCTTTCCAAGGCAGAATTAGAAGAGGGTAATTATTAAAAATTGGGTGATGTTATGAGGTGTAGACAATTTACCTGCTGGGTTTTTCTAGCAATGTACAAAAATAGCAAAGTGGCTCTGGGACATCATTGGTATGAAAGAAGTTATCACTCAAAGAAGGAATTCCCATGGTATTTTACAACTAATGCACCATATTGGGAGAAATTTTTTTCTTTATTAATTGTGTTTTATCTGTGTCTGTTCTCTCAGGCTAATTAAAGGCAGGGCTCCTTTTTTTTCATTAGTACAGCTGATGTTCACTCTTTCAGTACTTCACAGGTTTTAAAATTATTTCATTGATAACACCCTAAGTTACTGATACTCCTACGTACATTCATGTAATCTCAAGTCATTAATTATTTTTCTTTAAACAGAACTTCTCCACATTCATGGATTTTCCCCTTACATTTGTTGTTATTGATGTAATGAAGTTCTCCATGTATGCCAAATACAAAGCTATCAGAGATTGTTTTGTGAGCATCTTCCATGCTGCGGCTTGTCTAAGATTTTTTCACTTTCTTAATAATATCTTTCAAAGATTTCTTACATTTAATGTTGTTCATTTTTACTTTTCAAGCATTTGTGACCTCTTTATGGAATATTTCCTACATCAGTCTTTTCCATGTTAGTCTTCTGAGTTATCTTCTAAAACACTTATGACTTTACCTTTTGTGTGTACATTAAAGAACATCAGCTTATTAAACAAATACATAAAGACATTAAATATTTAAATATAAAAATATGTAAGAGATCAAAATAAATATGGGAAGTTGGAAGTAACTTTATATTTTGCAAAGATAGAAATACGAAAAATAGGCAAAATGTGTTAAATATTAAGTTTAAAATATTTTAGTACAAAAATTTTAAACTCAGGTGGCATATAAATAATTTATCCCTCAACTATATGTGAGTGACAATGGGCTAATAAAGTATATAAAATGCCTTTTTTTGAAACAAGTTAAGATATGACACTAAAAGCAAATTGCAAAAATAAGTAAATAGTATTAATTCAATAAAGAAGAGACGTCTAATGAAGATTTTAAAATAAATTTTTATAATTATGAAACAGTCTAGTAAAACAACAATGAAGCAAAACTCAATATCTACATAATTTGAGAAGTAAAAAAAGTAAGCACCAAGTACATGGGGAAGTATAGAACATCCTCATACATTATTCTGGAAGTTAGAAATTGATGGATAATTTTAAGGGAACTTGCTTATATGCATCAAATTTGAAAATATGGTGTATATTAGATTTACCATTTATTTGCAGGAATAAATTCTGAGGAACTAAGTAAGGATAAGTGCAAACATTTTCTCCTTTTATTTAAAAATAACAAAATGATTCATGCATGTTTAGATTTCTAAGAATAGGAGTTTCCTTGTAATTTTTGTAAACCATTAGAGCAACTGATTTTAATTAATAAATAATATTAGACAGAATAATTGTTAACATTACACATTTAAAATATACCAGATATTTTTCTGTTTTATGAATATTTATTATATGCCTTTAATCCTGACAACAAACCTATGCTATTAATAGCATTATACTTGTTTTACAAATGCAGAAACAAACACTATACTTGTTTTACAAATGCTTAACAGAGGTTAAGAACCTTACCAAAGGTCATATAGCTAGTGAGAGGCATCAGCAGAGAGCTAAGCAGTTTGAATCTAGATTTCAGACGCCTACCCTGCGAGTGGAATGCCCTGCTAATAGTGATGTATAGACATATATGTATGACATTATTATGTTTGTGACTTATCATGGTTTTAATTACATGTTGGAAAACAATATCTGTAAGTAAGGGATTCCTTCACTGAGTATAAGATTATAGGTTTTAATTATAGTTACTCTGAACAATTCAACAGGCTATATTTTATAAGAATATTACTGATATAGTATACTTGGATTTTTTTTTATTTTTAACTTTTTAAATTGCTGATCACTAAGTAAACATTCTTTTTTTCTCTTTGATATCTTCTTTTTCTCTAAAATAAAAATGACATAAAACAGATTTCCTTTGAAAGTCTGAAAAATTAAGCTTATGTTTCCAATATTGTTTAAAAAGATAGATTGGGTTATTTCTTTTTTTTCTCATATAAATGAGGTCAACTGAATGCTTAAAATTACAAAAAAAAATCTTCATATTCTTGAAATAGATGTCAGTATAATCATAAATTATACATGGAAAGTAAAATTAAACATTTATTATATGCTATTGGAATTAAGGGTTACAAATACAGGATGTGTTAGAAATAGAACTGATAAGTAAGACTGTTATATTAGTTGTTTTCTTGTAACACATCATTTTTTAAATCTAATTTTTTGTGTTTTTGTTTTCTTTAGCTTTTACTATTAGATAAGATGGTTGTATTAGTTTTATATTGCTTCATAACAAATTACCAGCCAGGCGTGGTGGCTCATGCCTGTAATCCCAGCACTTTAGGAGGCCAAGACGGGCAGATCACGAGGTCAGGAGATCCAGACCATCCTGGCTAACACAGTGAAACCCTATCTCTACTAAAAATACAAAAAAATTAGCTGGGCATGGTGGTTGGTGCCTGTAGTCCCAGGTACTCAGGAGGTTGAGGCAGGAGAATGGCGTGAACCTGGGAGGTACAGCGTGCAGTGAGCTGAGATTGTGCCACTGCACTCCAGCCTGGGTGACAATGCAAGACTCCATCTCAAAAAAAAAAAAAAAAATTACCACAAACTAAGCTGCTTAAATGAACACATATGTATTATCTCACAGTTTCTGTGGGGTCAGAAGTCGACGCATGGCTTACTTGGGTTCTCTGCTCAGTCTTGCAAATCTGCATTCAAGGCATTGGCCAGGTGGTGGTCTCATCTGGAGTTATGACTGGGGAACTGGAAAGGAATCTGCTTCCACGTTCATTTAGGTTATTGTCTAAGTAAGGCAATGTTGTACAGCAGTTATCACCCAGGTTCTTGGCAGAATCTATTTTCTTATAACTGTAGGCTGGATTTTTTCTCTTTGTAGCTAGAGGTCACCCTCAGGTCCTAGAAGCCACCCAAAATTCCTAAAGGCCACCTGTAGTTCCTAATGGTCTCCTACAACAAAGCCACTTACACCATCAAGCCGGCAAGGAAATTCTCTAGCTTTAGTAGGTCAAGAAGCAGTCATGGCTGGGTACAGTGGTTCATGCCTGTAATCCCACCACTTTGGGAGGCTGAGGCAGGTGGATCACGAGGTCAGGAGATTGAGGCTATCCTGGCTAACATGGTGAAACCCCATCTCTACTAAAAATACAAAAAATTAGCCGGGCGTGGTGGTAGGCACCTGTAGTCCCAGCTACTCAGGAGGCTGGGGCAGGAGAATGGCATGAACCCAGGAGGCAGAGCTTGCAGTGAGCCGAGATTGTGCCACTGCATGCCACAGAGCAAGACTCCATCTCAAAAAAAAAAAAAAAAAAAAAAGAAGCAGTCATATAACATATTCATGATAGCAATATACCATATACCATATTCTTGTCATATAGTGCAATGTAATTATGGGAGTGACATAGAATGGCTTTTGCCATGTTCTATTAGATAGAAGTAAGAGAGAAACCTCATTCATATTCAAAGAGAAGGAGTTACATAAATGCATGAATACCACTGGATGAAAATAATTGGAGGCTAACCTAGAGTCTGTCCTACAAAATAACTAATGTAACATCTTATAGGCTGAAACAGACTCAATTCAAACGGCTTTATCACTGCTCAGTGATCACTGCCCAGTTTTCTACGTTATTTACTTTACATAATGTTTTCTATAGACATCAAACACTTTGAGTTTTAAAACATTTCCAAGTGATAGTTATTGTAATGCATTTAATTTTATTTGTAATCTTATAATACTAGCAAGTTTTTGTTCTATTTCCATATTTTGGTATACATATTCATGGTATAACAAGCAGATACCTAGCAGTGCTTTTAGAACATGATTATATCATTCATAACCTGTTAGACTGATACTTATTTTCTATTTCTGCTCTTTCAACTCAGAAAATGTAGATCATATTTGTCTTATAATTTAAAGATATAAATAATGTAATCAGACATACTGTATCAATCCAATTTTACACTGTTATAAAAAAACTGCCCAAGACTGGTAATTTATAAAGAAAAGAGGTTTAATTGACTCACAGTTCTGCATGGCTAGGGAGGCCTCAGGAAACTTACAACCATGGTGGAAGGCAGCTCTTCACAGAGTAGCAGGAGAGAGAAGAAGTGAATGAGAGGGGAACTATCAAATACTTGTAAAACCATCACATCTTGTGAGAACTCACTCACTATCATGAGAACAGCATAAAGGGAACCAGCTCCATGACTAGATCACAATGATCTAATCACCTGCCACCAGGTCTCTCCCTCAATGCCTGAAGATTACAACTCAAGATGATATTTGAGTGAGGACACAAATCCTAACCATATTATTACACCCCTGACCCCTCCCAATCTCATGTCTTTTCACAATTTAAACCATTCATGCCTTCCCAACAGTGCCCCAAAGTCTTAACTCATTTCATCATTAACTCAAAAGTCCAAGTGACATCGAATTCAAGACAAAGCAAGTCCCATCCACCTATAAGCCTGGAAAATCAAAAGCAAGCTAGTTACTTCCTAGGTACAATGGGAGTATAGGCATGGATAAATGCTCCCATCCCAAATGGGAGAAATTGGCCAAAACAAAGAGACTACAGGTCCCATGCAAGTTCAAAATCCAGCAGGGTGTTCATCAAATCTTAAAGCCCCAAAATGATTTCCTTTGACTCCATGTCTCACATCTAGGTCACAATGATCTAAGGGTTGGGCTCCCACCATCTTAGGCAGCTCCACCCCTGTGGCTTTGCATGGTATAGCCCTCATCCCAGCTGCTTTCATGGGCTGGCTTTGAGTGTCTGCACCTTTTCCAGGTGCACAATGCAAGCTGTTGGTGGATCTACAATTCTGGAGTCTGGAGGATGGTGGCCCTCTTCTCATAGCTCCACTAAGCAGTGCCCCAGTGGGGATTCTGTGTTGGGGGCTCTGACCCTACATTTCCCTTCTGCACTGCCCTAGCAGAGGTCCTCCATGAGGGCTTTGCCCCTGCAATAGACTTCTATCTGGACATCCAGGTGTTTCCATACATCCTCTGAAATATGGGTGAAGGTTCTCAAACCTCAGTTCTTGGCTTCTGTGCACCCACAGGCTCAACACAACATGGAAGCCTCCCAGGCTTAGGGTTTTCACCCTCTAAAGCAAAGGACCAAGTTGTACCTTGGCCCCTTTTAGCAATGGCTGCAATGCAGGGCAGCAAAGCCCCGAGCCTGACCCACAAAATCATTTTTTTCTCCTAGGCTTCTAGTCTTGTGATGGGAGGGGCTGCCAAGAAGACTTCTGACATGTGCAGGAGACATTTTCCCCATTGTCTTGGCAATTAACATTTGGGTCCTCATCACTTATGCAAACTTCTTCAGCCTGCTTAAATTTCTCCCCAGAAAATTGGTGTTTCTTTTTCTTTCTTTTCTTTTTTTTTTTTTTAAATCAACAAACATTTATTTCTCATGGTTTGTGAGGCTGGGAAGTCCAATATCAAGGCACTGGCAGAGTCCATGTCTGGTAAGGGCCTGCTTCCCGGTTCAAAGATAGCTATTTTCTCACTGCACCCTCTCATGGTGAAGGGCAAAGCTAGCTCTCTAGGGACTCCTATCAGGAAACTAATCCCAGTTACAAGTTCTATCACATCATCAGGCTGCAAATTTTCCAAACTCTTATGCTCTGCTTCCCTTTTCTTTCCTTTTTTTTTTTTTTTTTTGAGACAGAGTCTTGCTCTGTTGCCCAGGCTGGAGTGCAGTGGCGTGATGTTGGCTCACTGTAAGCTCTGCTTCCTGGGTTCACGCCATTCTCCTGCCTCAGCCTCCTGAGTAGCTGGGACTACAGGCGCCTGCCGCCACACCCGGCTAATTTTTTGTATTTTTAGTAGAGACGGGGTTTCACCGTGTTAGCCAGGATGGTCTCGATCTCCTGACCTCGTGATCTGCCCGCCTCGGCCTCCCAAAATGCTGGGATTACAGGCATGAGCCACCGCACCCAGCCTCTGCTTCCCTTTTAAACAGAAGTTCCAATTTCAGATCATCTCTCTCAAGTTTAATGTTCCACAGATCTCTAGGTCAGGGACAAAATGCTGCCAGTCTCTTTGCTAAAGAATGACCTTTGCTCCAGTTCTCAGTAAGTTACTCACCTCCAAATGAAACCACCTCATCCTGGGCTTCATTGTCCACATCACCATCAACATTTTGGCCAAAACTATTCAACAAGTCTCTAGGAGACTCCAAACATTCCCACATCTTCCTGTCTTCCTTTGAGCCCTCCAAACTGTTTAAACTTCTGCCTGTTACCCAGTTCCAAAGCCGCTTCCACATTTTCGGGCATTGTTATAGCAGTACCCCACTCTACCAGTACCAATTTACTGCATTAATTTGATTCCACAATGTTATAAAGAACTGCCTGAGATTAGGTAATTTTTTTTTTTTTTAAAGAGAGAAGTTTAATTCAGTCATAGTTCTGCATGCCTCGGGAGAACCTTTGGAGACTTCAAATCATGGTGAGAGGCACCTCTTCAAAGGATGGCAGGAGAGAGAAGAAGCAAACAAGAAAGGAGCTGTCAAACACTTATAAAACCATCATAGCTCATGAGAACTCACTCACTATCATGAGAACAGGACGGGGGGGAATTGCCTCCATGATCTAACCACCTCCCACCGGGTCTTCTTGCTCAACACCTGAGGATTACAATTGAAGATGAGATTTGAGCAGAAACACAAAGCCTAACCATATCACGTACACATACCTGTCACTTATCTCTCAACTGAAAGCCCCATATTGAAAATGTTTTTGTGTATTTCCGTGTTGCTGGTAGTATGTTTAAAAGTTATATTGGATTATAGCTCTTTTTTTGGTTGCTTATAAAAATCCCTAAGGGAAAAATAAAGATATTATATTTCCAAAATAGCTAAAACATGATGAGTTCTGAAGAAACTCTTTTAAAATGAGTAATGGTTGACTGATAATTACAACTTTTCAACACCTAATTCAAATTGTTTTCATATCTAGAGGTATACTTTTTTCTTTCTATAGTCACATGAAATGTATCTTGTGTATAGCCAACATTATAGAAATTATTCAACAGGGTCAAAAAGCAGCTGTTCAAAAAAGCCCCAGCATGAAAAAGTTTGTGTGGATTTATAGTGATATGCAGATATTCCTTGGCTAATCCAAAGACTTGGTTTTGACTAAAAATTGTATTTGAAATGAAATTACTGGCCGAGCACAGTGGCTCATGTCTGTAATCCCAGCATTTTGGGAGGCCGAGGCAGCCAGATCACTTGAGGTCAAGAGTTTGAGACCAGTTTGGTCAACATGGTGAAACCCCATCTCTACAAAAAATACAAAAATTAGCTGGGTGTGGTGGTGGTAACCTGTAGTTCCAGCTACTTGGGAGGCTGAGGCACAAGAATCACTTTAATCTGGGAAGCGGAGGTTGCAGTGAGCCAAAATCATGCCACTGTACTCCAGCCTGGGCGACAGAGTGAGATTCCACCTCAAAAAAATAAAATAAAAAATAAAAAAATAAAGAAAAAAGAAATTGCTTTTTTTCATAAAAACTATTATGCTATTAAGAAATGACCAAAAATTTTTTAAAAGTTGCATTTTTGTTTCTTATTTCAAAATGAGGCAAGCACTTTTAGTAAACTAAGCTCATCAGAACTTTAAGAGAATTATTAGCTTTATATGTTTATTCATAGCTGTTTAAAGGAGTATCTTAAGCAGTTAGATATTGAAGCTACTTTGTAGAAACTTGGACCCACTTCTAGCACTTTTTGAACTAGAGGATTTGCATTTCTAACTATCTATCAATTAATTCTCTCTCTCTCTCTTTCTCTCTCTCATCTGTGTATCACGGCTAGTTCTTCAAACAGAGAAAGAAGGATATCATCACATGTAAAAACTATAGAATGATTGAAAGAAGTAAAGAAAGAGATAAGTATCTTTGCTTTGTTAGCAGTTCTTTGAGGCAATAAACTATTTATTGTCTGTTAGCCTCAGTGACCAAAAAAAAATACCTTCTCCTGTGAACCACGTTTGTTTTAAAATAAATCTAAACTGAAATTCAGTTTAAAATTACCTAATTCTTAAGCCAATTTCACCACTATAGGGAAAAGTTATTTAGTACACAGTGTCCTTATCTTCTAATGCATGGCAGAGGAGGATCTATGTATAGTCTTGAAGCCTGTGAGAGTGACTTTAATTTGTAAACATAATTTTTTTCAAATAATTTGCTTTAAATTTTTAAAATATATGCTTCTATGCTATGTTATAACTATATTTTGTTGTTGTTGTTTTGTAAAACAGTTTCAAATTCTTAACCCTCAACGGTATCTTCTTATTCAATGAGAATATAATAATCTGCTGATTAATTCAATTTCAAAATACTAGAATGAATATGAGTATAACACTATATAGCAAGTTCAAGGTGTCAGAAATTTTTCTTCCTTATAATATCATGCCAGGTGGAATTCCAGGGTTCTCAAATCTGCGAATAAATATGCAGTCACATTAACAGTAATACTTACGTAATATTGAACTAATACCTGTATATGTAATGCAAAGTCACATCCAAATTAATTCTACTTGTATTTTATGATTTTAGGGGTGGTTGTTTGTCATATATGAGAAGAAAACAGTTTCCTTAAATTATTCAGACCAAGACATTATTAGGAAAGTTTTATTCTTATAAATTATTTGAAGAAGTTATTATTTTTATTTTCTTCTTCCATTGTTGTTATACTATATTTGACAAAATAAATGGAAGAGATCCATATCAAATTCTAACCTCTGAAAATATAGCACACATCTTCACTTCTGGAATTCATTGGATATAAAAACTACAGCATCTCATGTAACTGCATACATTCATACATACCTACATAAACACACACACAGAAAATTGACCTGAAAAAGTTGTAGATGGCTTTAGCTGCTTTTGTTCTTACAAGCATGTGATATATACTCTTGTTTAAACATGAAGACCAGTATTTTCTTCACATCATTGAGTAACAAAGTGCTTTTGGGTCTTTCTGTAATTAATTTTGTAGAAAATTGGAAGCCAAATGTTTACTTCCATCAATAGATGAGTGGCATTTTTTTTTTTTTAATTGAGTTGGAGCCTTGCTTTGTCACCCAGGCTAGAGTGCAGTGGCACCATCTTGGCTCACTACAACCGCCACTTCCCGGATTCAAGCGATTCTCCTGCCTCAGCATCCTGAGTAGCTGGAATTACAGACGCATGCCACCACGCCTGGCTAATTTTTGTATTTTTTAAGTAGAGATGAGGTTTCAGCATGTTGGCCATGCTAGTCTCAAACTCCTGACCTCAAGTGATCCTCCCGCCTCAACCTCCCAAAGTGCTGGGATTGCAGGTGTGAGCCACTGCAACTGGCCAATAAGTAGCATTTTTAGACCATCTCTTTTACTTAGAATAACTGGAAAATCTGGAAAACTAAATTTTAAATAAATTAATGTGTCTGTCTATGGGTATCAGGGATAGCATAAGCAGCAAATTCTTGATGGTCCAAAAACCCAGGAAATAAATAAAGCTCTGAGATGTAAGCCCAGAACTAGGCATTACTTTTTCTTTGAAGTATTTTCATTTTAAAAGCTGTGGTTTATGAGCTCAACTAATAAGCTGGGCATTTATCAAACTCATTAGGAATGAAAGTAAAATGGAAATTCAGGACCTCTCAAAAAATGGAGACTGTAGTAAATGTCGCAATGCTTTCATTTTGGACCCTTAAAATCACATGTTGGAGTAAGAGCAACCAGGATAAGACCACCTTCATAGGCAAAGAAACCCATGTTTGAATCATTAAATAATGGATTGACTTAGAGTGATCTTTATAGACAGACTTATACCTAATTTCCAACATACTATGGAAACTAACAAACGAAAACACACAAGACGTATAAGACTTGGCTGAAAAATAGGAGGTATGCTCTTTGAATGTGTTAAAAAGGCAATAGATATATTGACCTATAGAAAAGAAACATATGAGAAAAATTCTGAAATAGTAAGAAGAAAATATTTCAACAGAAACTCAAACATAAAAAGACAAAATAAAGAATTTTTTTGAAACATAGATTAGTAAGTCAAACATGCATAATTAAAATATTAGATAAAAGAAAAAATAGAGTGGAAACAATTTTTGAAAAGACAATCTTAGAGTTTCCAAAGCTGGCAAAAATTGAAGACACTGTTCCAAGAATATCAATTACTCAAATGTCTTATGAGAAAAAGAAAACCACACATAGCATAGTAAAATTGCTGAAAACCATAGACAACCAAGAGGAAATCTTAAACACTGCCATAGAATAAAGACAATAAAAATACTATAGACAACAGGTGTCTCACAGATATAGTGGAATCAAGAAGAATATGGAGTAACTATACTATGACAAAAGAAAACTGCAAATTAATAATTCTATTACCAAGAAAATAACCTGTCAAAAACTGGCAATAGTACTCACATACTAAATGAAATACTAATGGTTTTCCAGCAGAAAAAAGAAAAATAGTGTCAGATGGCAGTCTCGAGATTCAGGAAGGAAGAAATGAAAATGAAATATACTAGCAAATCGCCATTACTGTTGATTATTTAAAAATTGCAATAATAGATCATGTAATGTCCCAAACATGCCCAAATTTAAATAAACAACAGGCAAAATTTATAATATGATGAGAAATAAATGGATTTAAAGCATTGTAAGATCTTTGCACTCTCTGAGATGTAAAAGCACTTACATTAGACTATCAGTGACTCGTGGTATTTTCTGTATGAAAACTACTGAAAGTCCTACAATATTCAATTTATAAACTACTAGAGAAGAAAATTGAAATAAAAATAGAATAAAATAATAAAACGGAAAGCCGATATTGAATTGGCAAGTTAGGACCTCAATTTGTCAGTTTTATAATTAAACATCAATGCAATAAACATTCTATTAAAAGATAAAATTGAAAACCTTTGATAAAACATAATAAAAAATACACTGCTTAATACATGATATCTTAAATACAGTAAAACAGATATATTAAAAACAAAAGATGGAAAAGTTATACCCTGCAAATATTATTCAAAATAAGTATAGCTATGTAAATATTAGGCAAGATTGATTTTTAAGACAAGAATTATTAATCCAGAAAAAGGGACATTTCATAAAGATAAAAGAATAAATCTGCCAGGAAGATGTAATTATTCCAAATTTGGGAAAACTGATATAATGACCCTAAAATATGTAAATATAAAATTGACTGAACATATATAAGAATAGACAAATCTTTACTCACAATGGGATATTTTATTACAATACTTTTAGTAAGTGATTGACAAGCAAAAAAAAGTAATGATATAGAAAATTGAACATAATTATAAAATAGACTTTGTAGACACATACAAAATGCAGCACATAATCACTTCAGAATGCAAATCTGATTAAGGTATACAAAAATTCCACAAATTCATATTGATATGCTGTATCATTTCAAATAACTGAAATCATGTTGAATATGGTATCAGAGTATAATAAAATTTAACTAGATTTTTTTAAAAAAAGAATAAAACACTTGAAAATCTCTAGATGATTGAAAATTAGGAAATAAATTTATAAGTAGCCAATGGGACAAAGAATAAATAACAAAGGAATTTAAAATACGTTGTATGATAAATGATTTTAAAAACACTATAAATCAAGTTTATCAGATGCTGTTAAACAAGAAATAACGGGAAATTATATTTTAAAATAAGAAAGCCTAAATAGGAATGATCTGCTACAGAGTTGGGAAATCAAGGCCCGCAAGCAAATATGGTTCACTGCTCTTTATAAAAATACAGTTTTATGGAAACACAACCACTTGTTCATCTGTCTATGGCTATCTTCACACTACAATTGCAGAGTTTAAAAGTTTAGACAGAGACTGTATGGACCATAGAGACTAAAATATTTACTATGTTGTCCTTATAGAAAAAGTTTGCTAATCCTGGTCTATCTCAAGAAATTACTAAAGGATCAGTGAAATAAGATAATGTGAGATTAAAATAATGAAAAAAATAAATATGATACAAAATTAATAAAATATAAAACTACCATTTAATAGAAGATGTCAACAAAGACAAAAAGATGTTTTTGGAAAAAGATCAGCGTAATGAATAAATACATGACAAGACTAAATAAGAAAAAAGGTCATGCAAAAAACCAACATTAGACATTAATTGAAAATAACCTACAGACACTAGTAATTTTAAAAGATAGTAGGAGGGTACTAAGGGACAACATTTAAAGTTTAGATAAATTTGGATAAATCAAACAAATCACCAAATTTACTAAATCTAACAAAAGAGAAATATATATTACATTGAATTTATATCTATTTAATTTAAACTCTGGAATTAAACATTTTTTCCACAAAGAAAAGTGCAAGCATAGATGATTTTCATTATTAATGAAATCTTTCCAACATTTAAGTAATGGATAAATAACTTTCTTGTAGAAAATAACTAAGAAGAGAGCATAGTCCAAAAAATTTATGATAGTAGCATAACTTTGATACCAAAATATGACAATATTATAATCATACTTACAATGATAACAAATTTCCTAAGCAAACATAGGTATTGTAAATAATCATATGCTCTGGCAAGGATAATACATTACAAGAAATGGTGCTAATTCCAAAATGTAAAATAGGTTTAACATCCAAATGTCAGTTCAAATCCTATATTAATAGAAGAGAAAAGATCATTTATATCATCATCTCAATTGATAGAACAAAAGCACTCAATATAATTTCACTAATCATTTATAACAAATTCTAGCATTAAACTAAAAATAAAAAGCTCCCTTAGTCTGATAAAAGTAATTAAAAAATACTATAAAAAACATCACACTTAATGATGAAATATGGCTTTCTCCCTGAGATAGGAATGAGGTCAAGATATTTATTATCATGGCTTTTATTCAACTTTCTCACACAAGATTTGTCATGTGCAATATGGAAAAAAATAAGCACATGCCAAGTTTTAAAAAAGAGGTATAATTGGAATTTTTTAAAATAAAATATCATACATGTAAATATATACGTACTTGTGTGCATATATATGTGCGTGCGTGTATATATAAAGGTCTTGATATTTGTATAAAAATAAGATGAAAATTCAACACTATATTAAAAGTGGGGTTAGGGAATGTAATATTTACTATAGTTAGATTTGTAAACTGAAGTAATTATTGCAAATATTAATTGTATCTCTGTGAACTAGTAGGAATAATAAAAGGAAATAACTGTCTTTTATTCATTTAAGTATGCTAGAATATATTGATGGAGCATGCTATGGGCTAAATTGTATATCCCTCAAAATTCGTGTCAAAAAAATGTGATCAAAAAATGTGATCAAAAAATGTGTTGATCCCAGTACCCAACAATATTTAAAGTAAGTTAAAATTAGGCCATTCGGATGGGCCCTAATTTTACGTGAGTAGTGTCCTTGTAAAAAAGAAGAAGATTGGACACACAGAAGACACCAGATTATATACACAAAGAGAAAAAAAATCATCTGGGTACACAGCTAGAAGGCAATGATCTGCAAGTCAAGGAGAAAGGTCTCAGAAGAAACCAGATCTGCTGACACCTTGATCTTGTCCTTCTAGCCTTCAGTCTTTGGTATTTTGTTATGGCAGTCTTAGCAAATTGAGAGAGAGAAGTACTTAGAAAATCGACTTTCAAAAATCTTGTGTTTGATGCTGTAATGAAGAGAGTGAGAAGGGACTGGAGAAAAGACAGTGGGAGGAAAAGAGTCTACCGATCTTCAAAAACAAAACAGATATTCCTGGAAAGCAGTTGGGTAACATAAAGTTCAAACATTAAAAGTCCAATTTATACAGCTTATGATGAGCAATTCTACTCTGAGAAAATGCAAAACATCTGAAATAAAGAAACTCCCTACTGACTCTTCTGGTCTCCTAAGAGTACCATTTTTGCCTTTGTTTAATTTTACTTTGAATTTTAATTTTTCTGCTTGTATTTTTGCATTCCAAAATATGAAACTGATGTACTGAGGAGCCTCATTGGGATTCCTGTAACAGTTTTTTTCTTATGAAAAAGGCTCTAGAGTCCTAAAATGGGTTTCGTGGTCCAACTCTTTCGAATCTCCAGCTTGTTTAAACGGAAGATTATATATCTCCTCTATGAGTGTTTGCTTGCAAATTGAATAAAGAACTACACTTGATTAAAACAGCATTGCCAAAAAAATCCAAGCAATTCATGACCTTCCATATGCAGTCTTCTCAGACAACCAAGGGCCTTAAATATTTCACTCACTGTATCTTATGAGAACAGCCTTTCTTGGTGCACAGCCACACATAAATTTAAAGGTCACAAATTCAAGAAAAATCACTTGTAACAAGCTCCTGCAGGAATTGCTTTATAGGATGGAGAGTGACGACAGTGGTTCTTTTGTGAAAAGAACAAAGCTCTTTGCCCTTGTCTGTTATTTTGAGAAGCCTATGGCCAACCTGCTTTGAAATCCCATTGTGCTCTTGACACAGTACGTCAAACTGTTATGAGCCAGATGTACATCCTTTCAGAAGGGGAAATCAACTGAATGATGGAAAACCTGGCTCAAGTTGGATTATTACCCAGTTCTTTCTGTCTGGAGGAAGAGATTTGGAAGCAAGAGTAGGATTTTCCCCTAGAGGTACAGAAGACAGCACAGGAATCATGCTTTCTTGCTTTGGATAAGTTCCAAGTTTTTTATGTTAAGTTCAATATTTCCATCTCTCATGCACACTTATCAGTTGGCTCCCAACTTCAAATTACTTATGTTAGGATAAATTTAATGAGGAAAAGGATATATAAAATAGGAAAGTAAGCCAGAGTATCTCATAAGTTATTTGTAAAGTTAATGGAAACATGCATCTCCTTAAATAAGAGGAAGAAATTGACAGTTATGGTATATAGTTTCTACAAACATGCTCCAAAGAGGATTCCTAAGAGTAAAGCCAGTAGAATAGTAAATATTATGTGTCATCTAATTTGTGTGTATTCACAGAAAAATCTAATGTTGGTTCTATAATTATTAAGTAAAATAAACACTGAACTGGAAGCCAAACATGTCTTTCTTAGACTCATAAGGTGTTAGTTGTAAAATTGGGAAGTTTATTTAATGTATTTTGTGTTACAGACACTGAAATGAGAGAGCACAGATCATAACCTCTGAAATTTCCCGCAGGTTTAACATTCTAAATTGTTTCCCTTTGTTTTTTCTTTAAATGTAAAGTCCATTATTTTGTGATTCAACATTATACTTCCTGGATTAAGGAAAATATGCAGGTTTGTATATTGGAATACTAGTGTCTATGTGGCGATGTGTGTGTTTGTGAGAATATAGCCCACTTTTTTAAAAGTAAATGATCACTCCTCACTCACAGGCTTGGTGCTGTGGGATTATGCTCTTATTCCTCCAATCAGGGCATCTCTTGAAGAAGTAGTTGTCTCTTTCATGTAAGTAGTTCATAAAAAGGGAAAGTGGAACAGCTGCTCCCAGAGAAGAGGGCACTGCACACATCATTCAAATTGATGCTCATTCCTCTAGAGTGATCAGTTGAAGTGCTAATGAGGCAGGCTCAGAGCCTCTGGCCTAAATATTCTGAACTTTGCTTTCCCTTTTAGTACTGTACTACCTCTACAGTGCAAAATGAAAGTTATAGCTGAGGTCCTTCTCCTAAGCGGTATGTATTTTTCTCAGAACAACTTACTATAGGAAATTATAGCAAAGGCAGCGGGAGAAAACTTCTATAATGCACAAGTACCCTTTTTCTTATTTTAACTACAAAGATAAGTGACTGCCCTCCTAGAAACCCTCCTGGACAAGTCACATCTATAAGTTCTTGGGTGAAATTATGTCTCAAGAACTAAAGTCTCCTAAGCTAATTGTGATGTAAGTTTTTGTTGTCATAAGGGTTGTTTTTGAATGTAGAGAGTCTATTCAGGAATTTTAAAGTTTCCGTTTCAAAACTTGACTTCTTTTGTAGGTTTTTACATTCAGCTTGCAAATCTTAGCAGAGTATGCATGAGTCAGGCATATTTTAATAAACTTTGAATAATTCTATTCTCACCTGTAAATTAAATTCAAAACTTCTTTTTAAATATGTAGAGAGAACCTGCATATTTATTTGAATTATTCTTCAGAATTTAATTTTCAGATAAAATAATTTTCTGAGTACTTAAATAACTTTTATAAATATAAATACATATAATTTACAACTACAGTGAACCTAAAATTCTCTTAAATGTTGCAGAACCATGAATATATTTTAAAAGACTTTAAGACAAATTAGAATGTTAAATCAGCTACTGCCTTACATATCTTAAATTTAGGTTACAAAGCAGTTATTCCAAAGGACCAAGTTCTCTTAAACATACAACAGTATATGACTGCATACTTATTGTAAGCCAAAAAGTATCTGAGACAGATCTCAATCAATTTAGAAAGTTTATTTTGCTAAGGTTAGGAACATACTTGTGACACAGCCTCAGGAAGTCCTGAAGACATGTACCCAAGGTGGTTGGGGCACAGCTGGTTTTATACGTTTTCGGGTGACATGACACATCAATCAATATATATATAAGATTTACATTGGTTAGGTCCAGGAAGGTGGGACAACTTGAAGCAGGGAGGGGGCTTCCAGGTCATAGGAAGATAAGAGACAAACATATTCCTTTGAGTTTCTGATTAGCCTTTTGCTGAATGCACAATCTACAAAAATAGTCACTTATGCCTTAGTCTGGCTTAGTGAAACAATAGGGCAAAAGAAATAATTTGATATGTATTTATCTCACATGAGCAGAGGGATTACTTTGAATTCTGCCTGTCCTTTGTCCACAAGGAACTTCTTTGTGGGCAAGTTGTGAGGGAGGTTTTGTAGCTTTATTATTATTTTTAAAAATCTCTGTATCTGTCTTATTTAAAAATAGAATGGGAGGCAGGTTTGCTTTACACAGTTCCCAACTTGACTTCTCCCTTTGGCTTAGTGATTTTAGGGTCCCAAGATTTTCCTTTCACATTGTTCTCTAGCTTTGGTTTTCCTATTTACAGCTTCTTATTATACATATGTTGGTTCCTCTTTTTTAATCCTCTATATTTACTACTTTCTCACAGTTATTTTAATCTCATTTTAAATGTGGGTTTTTCCTACATTTTTATCCTAGATTTTTGATATGCTATTTTGTGTTATGTTAGTTACTCTTGTTCTCCTCATATTTCAAACTGTATTTCTAAACTGATTTTTCTCTTTCACTTCCATTTTTTTGTTGGTCTCTGTATGCTCTGTTCTCATGTCTTTCTTTGTCAAATCATCTCATTTCTGAGTTTTAAAAATTCTAATACATACAGATTAAAGTTTTTTTTAAATTTAAATATTTTCAAAATGTTAGTTTACAGTTTTATGTTTTGTGAGTACATATTTTCCATGGGAATTCTTGTTTGTAAAACAATTATTCTGTTTTATATTTCCTTTTGTATTAATATAAAGTTTGATTTTAATCATTTTCTCTGTCTTATATTTAGGTGAGGTACATATTTCTATAGGAGGTAGTTGCTGTGTAGGAATAAGAGGTTTTGAGACTGAATCTCTAGGGCTTCTTTTTTTCTTGTTACAAGTGTTATAACATTTGAACTTACTTAATTTTATAAAACATGCCAATCCTGTGTTCTCCTTCAAATTTTTTTTTTTTTTTTTTTTTTTTTGAGACAGAGTCTCTCTGTCACCCAGGCTGGAATGCAGTGGCATGATTTCAGCTCACTGCAACCTCTGCCTCCTGGGTTCAAGCAATTCTCTTGCCTCAGCCACCACAGTAGCTGGAAGTACAGGAGCACACCACCATGCCCAGCTAATTTTTTTTGTATTTTTCAGTACAGATAGGGTTTCACCATGTTGGACAGGCTGGTCTTGAATTCCTGACCTCAAGTGATACACCTGCCTTAACCTCCTAAAGTGCTGAGATTACAGGCATGAGCCACCGCACCTGGCCTCCTTCAACTTTTATTCAGACCTTTTGTTGTTGTACCCAAATTTCCTGTTCTATTCAATTTGGATTTGACTTTCTCAAATTTTATACTGTTGAAATGTCAAGTTGTATATTAAAATAGAAGGAAATTTCAGTAGTAAATTGCCAGAGTTTATGAAATAAAAGCATCCTAAAACTCACTGAATTTCCAGTGGTCTCTTCATTTGTCAGTAAATTGGAGACTATAAAGGTTGTTCCTAGTTTTGGTTGCTATTCTCAAAGCATGCCATTAAACTTTATACATATATTGGGGACCCCTCCATTTAAAGATGAATATCTGTTGGCTATTTCTGAGTTCTCCAGCTCTAAAGAACATTAAAAAACTGTGTTAGTTTAGGTTCTCCAGAGAAAGATAATCAATATATATGGTTCTCGGCCCTTCAGACTCTAGGAATTACAATCTGCATGGTTAACTTCAGACTGAAAGCCAGTCTGAAGTTAAATGGCTTAGTGAAGGCTCCCAGTCTGAAGTTAAACATGAGATTCAATGTCCAAGGACAGGAGAAGATGGATATCCCAGCTTAAGAAAATGGACAGAATTCTCTTGTTTTCTTCCTGCTTGTTCTATTTGGGTAGAATTTCAATGGACTGGATGATGAGCAACCACATTGGTGAGGAAGAATCTTTTTTATTGTGCCTACTGATTCAAATGCTATTATCTTCTGGAAATATCCTCACAGACACACCCAGAAATAATGTCTTACCAGCTATCTTGGTAATCCTTCACTGAGTCACGTAGAGTCATGAAATTAACCATCACAGAAACACGTTGTCTTTTCTTTCTTTCTTTTTTTCTTTTTGGCATATATGCTTTGTAACTCAGGTTTTTACACTTACGATAGCTTAGCTTGTCCAACCCTTTGAATGCAAGGACATATTTGCTTATCTGTGGTGGCAGATATCACGAAAATTATGTGTAGATTTTTATTTTATTTTATTTTATTTTTAGCTCATCAGCTAGTGTTAGTGTTAGTGCATTTTATGTGTGGCCCAAGTCAATTCTTCTTCCAATGTGACCCAGGGAACCCAAAAACTTGTACATGCTGGGCCTATTCTCTTTCTAGCTGATAGTTCATAGCAAAGCATTTTTTTTACTAGGTTTTTGTTTTGTTTGAAATTTATGTTTTGTGTTTTGTTATTTTCAGTTAATTTTAATTGTTTAATATTTATTTTCTGTGGGTATATAGTAAATGTATATATTTGTGGGGTATATGATACAGGCATGCAATGTGAAGTAAGTGCATCATAAACAACGGAGTATCCATTCCCTTAAGCATTTATCCATTGAGTTGCAAACAATACAATTACACTCTTAAGTTATTAAAAAAAAGTACTGTTAAGTAATTATTGACTATAGTCAACCTGTTGTGCTATCAAATAGTGGGTCTTATTCATTCTTTCTATTTTTTCTATACCCATTAACCATCCCCACCTCTCCCACAGTGCCCTACTAGTCTTCCCAGTCCCTGGTAACCATCCTTCTACTCTCTATGTCCGTGAGTTTGTTTTAATTTTTAGATTCCATAAATAAGTGAGAACATACGTTTGTCTTTCTGTGCCTGTCTTATTTCACTTAACATAATGATCTCCAGTTCCATTCATTTTGTTATGTTGTTGCAATTGATTGGATCTCATTCTTTTTTATGGTTCATTAGTACTCCACTGTGAATATGTAGCATGTTTTTAAAAATTAATTCATCTGTCGATGGAAACTTAGGTTGCTTCTAAATCTTAGCTATGGTAAACAGTGCTGCAACAAACATAGGAGTGAAGATATCTCTTCAATATGCTGATTTCCTTCTTTCGATTATATCGGCAACACTAGGATTGCTGCATAACATGGTAACTTTATTTTTAGATTTTTTGAGGAACCTTCAAACTGTTCTCTGTAGTGGTTGTACTAATTTACATTCTCAGCAACAGTGAACAAGGGCTGCCTTAACTCCACATCCTTGAGAGCATTTGTTATTGCCTGTCTTTTGATATAAGCCATTTTAACAGGGGTAAGATAATATCTCATTATACTTTTGATTGGCATTTATCTGATGATCAATGACGTCGAGCACGTTTTCTTTTCTTTTTTTTTTTTTTTTTTTTTTGAGACAGAACGCCAGGCTGGAGTGCAGTGGCCCAATCTTAGCTCCTGGGTTCAAGTGATTCTCCTGCCTCAGCCCCCGAGTAACTGGGATTACAGGCACACACCTCCACGCCCAAATATATATATATATATATATATATTTTTTTTTTTTTTTGAGATGGAGTTTTGCTCTTGTTGCCCAGGCTGGAGTGCAATGGCGTGATCTCGGCTCACTGCAACCTCCGCCTCCCGAGTTCAAGCAATTCTCCTGCCTCAGCCCCCCGAGTAGCTGAGATTATAGACATGTGCCACCACACCCGGGTAATTTTGTATTTTTAATAGAGATATGGTTTCTCCATGTTGATCAGGCTGGTCTGGAACTCCCGACCTCAGGTTATCTGCCCGCCTCAGCCTCCCAAATTTCTGGGATTACAGGCATGAACCATCGTGCCCCGCAAGCACCTTTAATATGCCTGTTTGCCATTTGAATGTCTTCTTTTGAGAAATGTCTATTCAAATCTTTTGCCCATCTTTTGATTGAATTATTAGATTTTTTCCTATAGAGTTGTTAGAGTTCCTTATATATTCTGGTTATTAATCCTTTGTCAGATGGGTATTTCGCAGATGTTTTCTTCCATTCTGTGGGTTGTACCTTCAATCTGTTGATTGCTTTCTTTGCTGTGCAGAAGCTTTTTAACTTGATGTGATCCCATTTGTCCATTTTTGCTTTGATTGCTTGGGCTTTTGGGGTATTACTCAAGAAATTTTTCCCAGACCAATGTCCTGGAAATGTTCTTCAATGTTTTCTTATAGGAGTTTCATGGTTTGGGGTCTTCAATTTAAATATTTAATCCATTTTGATTTGATTTTTGTATATGGCCAGAGATATGGGTCTGCTTTCATTCTTCTTCATATGGATATACAGTTTTCCCAACACCATTTATTGAAGAGACTGTCTTTTCCCCGGTGTATATTCTTGGCACTTTTATATAAAAATGAGTTCACTGTAGGTGTGTGAATTTGTTTCTGAGTTCTCTATTCTGTTCCATTGGTCTGTGTGTCTGTTTTTATGCCAATCCAATGCTCTGGTAATTGTCTTATGGTTTCCTCGTTTGCCTTTACTTTTTCCTTTCCCTTTCCCTTACTCTTGTCCTTCCTTTCCTTTCTTTCTTCCTTTTTTTCCACCTTCCCTTCCTTCCTGCCTTCCTGTCTTCCTTCCTCCCTTCCTTCCTTCTTCCCTCCATCCCTCCCTCCTTCCTTTCTTTCTTTCCTTTTCTTTCTCTTTCTTTTTCTTTCTTTCTTTCTTTCTTTCTTTCTTTCTTTCTTCTTCTTTCTTTCTCTTTCTTTCCTTTCTCTTTCTTTCTCTCTCTCTCTTTCTTCTTTCTTTCTCCTCCTCCTTCTCCTTCCTTCTTTCCTTCCTTCCTTCCTTCCTTCCTTCCTTCCTTCCTTCCTTCCTTCCTTCCTTCCTCCTTCCCTCCCTCCCTCCCTCCCTTCTTTTTCTTTTCTTTTCTTTTCTTTTTTTCTTGCAATTTTTTGCCCAGTCTCATGGACTTCTGGCCAATGCATGTGCAGGTTGGCATATAGCCAAAGACTCACAGAAAACCCTATGCAAATTATGAAATTCCTTCTCCCCCTGGCTCTCTCCTCTCTGGAATTGTACCCTGTAAATTCTAGTCAGTTCAGCTTCCCTGAACTCAAATTGCTGTCTCTTTCATTCAGTGAGCATGCCAGGTTCTATTTCCCTATATCATGTACTGAAAACTGGCTCCAGGCAGAAAGTCTTGGCAATGGTAGAGCTCAATTCAGTATGTTCCTTATTTTAGAAAATACTATTCTAGTGCTGCTTGTTACCTGATATCTGCAAATTGCTGGTTTTTTTTTTTACATTTTTAAAAAATCGACACACAAAATTTTATATATTTAAGGTATACGATATGAAGATGTAGTATATATTGTGGAATGGCTAGATCAAACAAATAGCATATGTATTAACTAAAATACTTATAACTTTTTTGTGTAAGAAAACAATATTTACTCTCTTTTTCTCTCGATATATATACATATATATATATAGTCACATACTTGATCAATTTTTTCCAGGCATTTGTGTCAGAAAAGTAATTTCAGACCCTGTTACTTTCTTATGAACATAAGTGGAAGGGCTATATTTCACTTTAATACCATTAGTCTTACAAAACATTCTTTCCCCTCAGGCTCAAATATGACAACCGCCTACTTGAAACACTAAAATGGCTAATACCTGTATAAAAATATCTAAAGTTATTAGTTGAGTTTACAATGCCCTTCAAAATCTCGGTCTCTCGGAGCTTATCAAGTACATCTGTGGCTTTTTCTCTTTGTAAGCCAATTTTAATTTTATTTAATCTTATAGTATTTATTGTTTTTCAAAAATCCCTTCAGATTTTCTGTTCTCAACATCTGAAATCTCTACAAGATACAAATTTAATATATGCACAAAGCATCCTGTATTTACAAATAACACTGCCAAATAATGGAAAGTCCATTATTTGTAATGTTTCCATACACTACAAAGATATTGAGAGAGATATCATTGTCATGTATCGCAGTTTGCCAAGTTCCCTTCTCAGTGTCTTTCAAATATCATCTTATTTCTTTTATTTAACTACACAAGTGTCTTCAGTTAGATTGTAGGAATACAAAAGCAGGTCAATTCAAATTTTAAGACTGATGATTCTCAAAGTTGAAACTCATGAATGCTGATAGGAGGTGGGTCTGGAAGATTTTCTCAGTTAACTATGGCTGTATATATTTTACAAACACAGGATTTAGTGGATTAAAGAGTAGCAATTTTATTATTTTTCATGATTCTGTGAGGATTCTGTGTTCTGCAGTAAACTAAGTGGCTTGGCTGGAATGTCCATAATGGCTCATTCACACAGCTGGTTGTTGGTGCAGACAGTTAGTGCAGAGTCTCAACTGGGGCTGTCAAATGAAACACCTCTGTCCTTAACTGCTTGGCCTCTATATGTGGTTTGAGCTTCTCTCAGAGTGATGACTGAGTTCTAAGAGGCATAAAGTGAAAACTGGCAGTCCTTTTAAGGCTGGAATGGAAAGTCCCATACTGTGACACATTTCATTATTAAGGCCAATCATAAGGCCTGCACAGATTCAAGAGCAGATGAAATAACGTCCACCTGTTGCTGTGAGAAATGTATATATGGACACAGAGGAAGAAAATTGTTGGAGGTCATGGTGAGAGAGTAGTTACCACAGGGAACTGGAAGAAATTCTGTTCTCTTTGATATTTCTTTGTAGTCTTCCTTCAATGTGGATTTTTGGTTTGTTTGTTTGTTGGCGGGTATGGGGTTAGAGTGTGGAAAGACCCAGAAAACCAGGAATGTTCATAGCTTACATGACTCTTTATTCCTGTTGTGGCAGCCACAACATCACTTCTTATCTATTTGAAATGTATGTATCTCTTTTTTGGGTACAGAATTTGGATAAGCTTCATATTCTCAGAGGTTATTGCAGATCTCTATCGGTAATATTATTTTCCTGATTTATTTTTGTTAACCATGTTTTGCTCTAATCTCGTAAGTTTTAAGAGTACTATTTGCCATTGTTTATCACAAGGAAGAACTTTGCCAAAACATATCAAAATGAACTTACACAAAAAAAAGTTTCAAAAGTATGTTTGACATTGTGAAAAAACTAAAAAGATTATGATTTTTAAAGTTTGTGATTTAGTTCTTTCCAACATCTCCAGGATTCAACTGTAATAGGAACATACTATTTATGTTTTGTTTTTAAAAATAAAATTAATAAAATTGAATAACTATAAACATTTTTGCTCCAGTTTAATTAAAAAATGTAATAACATATTCCCCCAAGATTGCTTTTCAAACCAAAACTATCATAAATACCACATCCAGGCAGCTAATAAGTATTTGTCTTGAGTATACAATAATTTTTAAATATGGTGAAAAATATCAATATTCTAGCCACAGTGTAAGAAATATGCCAAAAGTATGGTTTGGGTTTACCAAATATGTTTTTTTGTTTTGTTTTTCTTTCTTAGTATTAATCTTATTTTTATGCATATATGTTTAGAGATATATGTTATTTTAAATTTTGATATATGATCATATATCATCAAAAGAATTCTTATGCAAACAATAGAGATCATTCTATTTCTTATATCTACTCATTCTGCAATGAGAATTATTTAGAATCTTCTAAATAATGGGTAGATTTTTGTTGATGCCTGAGAAAACATGCTAATCAATCAGGCTCTTCAGATACAGACACACATTTATATAGGGTAGGATGTCTTCTAGCCAGGTTACAGACAAGTAAATAAATATGATTTTAAAATTATGTAAATGTATTATCTTATATAAAAACATACATTAGGAAAGTTCTTAGTGTTTCTAATTCTGTGCTAATAACATAATTAAATGCACAGATTCTTTTCATATTTCTGCTGTACAGTCCACAGCACTTTGAGTTTTCCCATTAATTTAGCTGCCATGATAGGCACAATTTGGTTATTATAATTCCTGACATCCAGTTAGAAGTGTAACATACAACAGAAAATTGAATATCTGTCTTTCGTGGTTTTTTCAGCTCTCCTATGATAGACATTTCCTCATTGGCTCCAACTGGGACAAATTATGATTCACAACAATGATCACTATTGTCATTGACTTAGACTATTCAAATTTATTTTACATCTAGAGGCAGTCACTATTATTTAGTATGTCAATTATTGTCATACATGTGCTAGTGTGTTTTTGTCTATATTCAGGGAGTTGTCAGTTACTGTTATTTAAAATTATTATCCAAAGAGAAGTCCACATTTCATAATTTAGCTATATTTGTCACTGAGCAGCCCCAGACATGTTCTTAATTAATCAGTTTTCAAAATAGATTTTTATGGAGTAAATTAAAAGTTTGTTAATTAGAAAGTTTGATTTTAGAAATGGAATTTAATTAGTAAAATTAATGAATTGGTAAAAATGTGTGATTCTGATAAAATATTGTAGTGATACTTCCACAAATATATGAACAGGCCATACAAATTTAGTAAGCCCTTGGCTTTCTTACCATTTAGAATCCTGTCTGAGTTTACTTTGGAAACATTCCTTTGTCTAGCCACCAAATACAGAAGATGGTGTTTCCCTGGTGCCTTTTGTCAGATGAATTGAACTCAGTCTGTAGGATAGGGTCATGTTACATTGAGCAAACCTTTCATGCAAAGTGAGTTTAAAGAGTGATGTGTCAATTTGTACCAGCCAAACAGAATCAATGGTTAGCATCTCTTCCCAGGGCATCAGTCAGACACTAATATTGGTTGTTTAAAATTAGCCAGGGCTACATCGAGGAAATCAGAAACCTAGATAGTGATTTTTGGTTTTGGTGTATATATGTATGTGTGTGTTTTCATTGAGCTGGCTTATTAGCAACAGAGTGAGACTCTGTCTCAAATATATATATATATATATGATTAAGAAAAAATATGGATCTAAATGACAATTTTACAAGCACATGCCTAATAACCTTCTTTCTTGACTAACTTAGCCTAGTGCAGGGCTTGACTTTCAGAGCTGTGAGACTGCATAATCTAGCATGTGTTTATCACCTCAGAAAAAGAAAAATAAATTTCATAGTTAAATTAGTTTGGCCATTCTTCTTGGAGATCCTTGATATAAATTAACCTTAAAAAGTTGCTGTGAAATCATGTGGTATAGGAGTATGTTGAAATATCCAGAGCTTTTTAAAATTTTAAATAATACAAACTCTACATTTTCTAATAAAGCAATTTATTGTGTATTAATGTGCTCATAGGAGAAATTGTGGGATGTCTGGATGGAAGAGTAAATTTTTCATCATTGATGCCTATCATTTTCTTACTTCTTTATCTGTTTATTTCTGTCTGTTGGCTACATTCTACAGAGGGGATCTCTCTGTGTGTATCAAAAGGACCACTGACATATGTAGGTTTTCATTCTCTGTGATTGGTGAATCAGAAGGTGTGCTCGGAGAAGAGCTCTAATTGGACACACTTAGATGTTGTGCTTGTCAATGAAATGATTACTGATGCCAGCAGTACTATGGTTGGCCCAGTGGTTATATGGTTGGCCACAGATGCAAGAGAAATGGGCCTTAAAGGAAGCTGAGAGATCAAGACGTGACCTCTATATATCCCACTGCATATTCCCAAACTTGTTGGAACATAGAACACTTTTCTCAAAAACACTTAATATTTTTGCAGATTCCACTCAGATATTGAAATATTTGTAACTGCCTATTGTTCACCTTACAGGGATATTAATGTGTTCACCTGTCAGCCTCCATAATTAAATTTTCCCATTAATGTGAAGTAATGAAACATGCTTCAAATTTCATATACATGCATGATGACTTGTATGTACATTGTGGTCATATCTTTGAATAAAGAAAAATAGTTATGGTTTTCTAGGCATTAGTGAAAACATTGTCAAGCCACATGATATGTTACATAATCTACTGGTAGACTTGGATTTTAAAGATTCTTTTAACACAAAAGTCAGGGCTGTAAAATCTAGCTAAGAACACTGAATAAGGAGTGCTTTGATGCTTAGCTACATAATCAAACAATGTGACAATGGGAAGTGGGAAGATCAAATGATAAGAAGTGGTGACAAATGGGCATTGATTTCAGGTCACTGAAGTGTGTCTCAACCAGTAAAGTGGCCATCCCAAGTTGTTAGGACTTTCACAGTCCATTGAAGATACAAAGAAAGTACTCCAATACTGATATGTGAAAAATGGTAAAGTACATTTTTCCTTAAATCATGTAAGATATATCCCAGTTCAAAACTGTTAATGTAAAATCCAGCAGAAATATTTCATTGTTATATTTAAACGTATCCATATGTTTATGCTTATTTTATAAAAGTTTATGTAACATGTGAGAAAGATACGATTAGAAATAGTTTAAAAATTGATTTGCAAATACAATTCGGAATTTTAGGCAGAAATTATTGAAGAATAATTTAGGCAGAAATTATTAAAGAATTTACTGAATTAAAGCTAATTCGGGGATTGAAAAGACGAATAGTCCAAACATAAGGTAGACTTCAGGTTTGATTGACTCAATCTGCACAGCAATGTCCAGGCACTTGTCATGAATATCCAAAAACTTTTCCTTTTTCATCTCTGCCATATTAGGTATCAGCTTTATATCCAGCCTAGTAGCTATTCAAGGTTTACAATGCTACACAGCAATACATATATATCTATAAATTCACACACACACATATGTGTATATATATACACATATATATTCACTGACCGTATTTATTTGTACATTTATATTTATACAAATTTACTGACTCCAAAAGAAAAATCATAGCAAAATATAGTAATGTAATATATGTATAGAATTATATATTTTTATATTATATAAAATGTATATAATTATAATATACTATATAGTATATCAAATAAAATATATATTATATATTAAATTATAAGATAATATAAATTATTATATAAATATGTAACTATATATAAATATAATTATGTATATATATAAAATTACTTTATTTTGCTGTTATTTTCCTTCAGGAGTCAGTAAATTTTCTTTAGGTAGCCACCTGTACATTTTTTCTCATGTATCATTGGTTGGAATTAAGTAATATGATTATTTATGATGCAATTACCATATTTAGGTATAAGATGGGCAGTGCAGACTATCCTGTCATGACTAAATTTGGGAAAGATGGGCACCTAAACAAAAATAGCATATTATTAAACAGAAAGAAAGAGGGAATAGGTAGTATTCATTTTGTCCATGTTTTTTCTAGGGAGGACTTTCTAATTTTAAATGTTATTTAAAAGATAAATCAGAAATCATCTTCTTGAGAAAATCCCCTCTAATTCCCTTTATCATCATTCCAGCGTGAATAGGCATTTCTCTTCTGGGGATCTATTCATAGGCTGTACCTATCATTTAGTATTTCAGTTATTTGTTTCCATGATTGGCTTTTTCATTAGTCTGTGAGTACTGTGAGGGCAGAAATACTTTTTATTCATTTTATTGTAAACAGTATGATATTTAAAAAACATCTCTTTAATGAATTGGTGATGACACAATGGCAAATTATTCATATTTGCTAAAATTATTTCCAGTAGAACCACTTAATTTTAGTACCTTAGTTCCTTTTGGTATTCAGATGTAGTAATAGGAATTTATTGTAAATGATTCTGTTTCCTAGAGTCCACTCAAAAGCATGTTAGCATAATAAAATAAATTATGAAATATAGAGTTTTTTTCCTGACTTTCCAACCTAATTTAGGGACCTCTAATATATGTCATTTTCTAGTTTTTCTTATTGGAAAATATGCCAACAGTCTTGTTTGCCATAAGACAAAACTGTCTTTATTTCCCTGCACCCATTAATGTGTATTCGGTGGGAACTCAATAAATAGGTATAGTTAAATAAATGCATTAGGAATATTTACATTTCCCTTGTTATAAAATATAACATTTATTTCTCTCTTTTTTCTCTCTCTCTGTGTGTGTATATATATATATATATGTATATATATATATATATCTGTATATATATATATATATATATCTCTGTGTGTTACCATCTTAAGGTATAAGTTGGACAGCATAGGCTACCCTGTCATACTAAATTTGGGAAAGACGGGCATCAAAACAAAAATAGCATCATATTAAAGAGAAAGAAAGGCCCGGCGCGGTGGCTCATGCCTGTAATCCCAGCACTTTGGGAGGCTGAGATGGGCGGATCACGAGGTCAGGAGATCGAGACCATCCTGGCTAACATGGTGAAACCCCATTTCCACTAAAAATACAAAAAAATTAGCCGGGCGTGGTGGCAGGCGCCTGTAGTCCCAGCTACTTGGGAAGCTGAGGCAGGAGAATGGCGTGAATCCGGGAGGCGGAGCTTGCAGTGAGCCGAGATTGTGCCACTACACTCCAGCCCAGGCAAAAGGGCGAGACTCTGTCTCAAAAAAAAAAAAAAAAAAAAAAGAGAAAGAAAGAGTATATGTATATATGTATATATGGCTGTGTGGGTATATTTGTGTGTGTGTCTGTATATATGTGCATGCTATTACATATATGATATATGTATATTTAGAAGTATGTTTGTATTAGTCTGTTCTCACACTGCTAATAAAGACATACCTGAGACTGAGTAATTTATGAAGGAAAGAGGTTTAATGGACTCAGTTCTATATGGCTGGGAAAGCCACACAATCATGGCAGAAGGCAAAGGAGAAGCAAATGCATTTCATACATGGTGGCAGACAAAGAGAGTGTGTACAGGGGAACTATCCTTTATAAAACCATCAGATCTTGAGAGACCTTTTCACCATCATGAGAACAGCAGGGGAAAAATCTGCCCCCATGATGCAATTACCTCCTACCGGGTCTCTCCCACAACACATGGGAATTATGGGAGCTACAGTTCAAAATGAGATTTGGGTGTGGATACAGCCAAACTATATCATTCCACTGCTGGCCCATCCTAAATCTTATGTCCTCACAGTTCAAAGCCAATCATGCCTTCCCAACAGTCCTGAAGGTCTTAACTCACTTCAGCATTAACTCAAAGGCCATAGTCCAAAGTCTCATCTGAGACAAGGTAAGTGCCTTTCACCTATGAGCCTGTAAAATCAAAAGCAAGTTAGTCACTTCCTAGATAAAATGGGGGTAAAGGCATTGGGTAAGCACAGCTATTCTAAATGGGAGAAATTAGTCAAAACAGGCTACAGGTCCCATGCAAGTCCAAAATCCAGTGGGGCAGTCAAATCTTAAAGCTCCAAAATAATCTCCTTTGATGCCATGTCTCACATCCAGGTCACGCTGATGCAAGAGGTGGGTTCTCATGGTCTTGGGCAGCTCCACCTCTGTGAATTTGCAGGGTATTTTCATGGGTTGGTTTTGAATGTCTGTGGCTTTTCCAGGTACATAGTGCAAGTTGTTGGTGGGTCTATCATTCTGGGATCTGGAGGATGGTGGCCCTCTTCTCACAGTTTCACTAGGCAGTGCCTCAGTGGGCACTCTGAAGGCTCCAATCCTACATTTCCCTTCTACACTGCCCTAGCAGATGTTCACCATGAGGGCCCCGCTCCTGCAGCAAACTTCTGCCTGGACATCCATGCATTTCCATACATACTCTGAGATCTAGGCCGAGGTTCCCAAACCTCAATTCTTGACTTCTGTGCACCTATGGAACCAACACCACGTGGAAGCTGCCAAGACTTGGGGCTTACCCCCTCTGAAGCAATGGCCTGAGCTGTACATTGACCTCTTTTAGCTGAGGCCAGAGCTGAAGCAGCTGGGACACAGGAAACCATAGCCTAAGGGTGAATAGAGCAGGGGGTCCTTGGACCTGGCACACAAAACCATTTTTCCCCACTAGGCCTCCAGGCATGTGATGAGAGGGGCTGCCATGAAGGTCTCCAGGCATGTGATGAGAGGGACTGCCATGAAGGTCTCTGACATGTCTTGGAGACATTTTCCTCATTGGCTTAGTGATTACCATTCAACTCCTTGTTACCTATGGAAATTTCTGCAGCCAGCTTCAATTTCTCCCCAGAAAATGGGTTTTTCTTTTTCTATTGCACTTTCAGGCTGCAAATTTTCCAAACTTTTATGCTCTGCTTCCCTTTGAACACTTTGCTGCTAGAAATTTCTTCTATCAGATACTCTAAATCATCTCTCTGAAGTTCAAAATTCCACAAATCCCTATAGCAGGAGCAAAACACCACCAATCTCTTTTCCTTGCAAGAGTGATCTTTACTCCAGTTCCCAACAAGTTCTTCATCTCCATCTGAGACCACCTTAGCCTGGGTTTCATTGTTCACATCACTACCAGCATTTTGGTCAAAGCCCTTCAACAAGCCTCTAGGAAGTTCCAACCTTTCCCACATCTTCCTGTTTTCTGAGCCCTCCAAGTCTCTAGGAAGTTCTAAATTTTCCCATATTTTTCTATCTTCTGAGCCCCCAAAACTGTTCCAATATCTGCCTGTTCCCCAGTTCCAAACTCGCTTCCACATCTTTGGTTATCTTTATAGCAGCACCCCACTACCCAGTACCAATTTACTATATTAGGCTGTTCTCACACTGCTAAAAAAGACATACCCAAGACTGGTTAATTTATAAAAGAAAGAGGTTTAATGAACTCACAGTTCCACATGGCTGGGGAGGCCTCATAATCATGGCAGAAGGCAAAGGAGAAGCACATGTCTTACATGGGAGCAGGCAAGGACAACATGTGCAGGGAACTCCCCTTTATAAAACCATCAGATCTCGTGAGACATTTTCACTATTATGAGAACAGCAAGGGAAAGACCCGCAACCATGATTAAATTACCTCCCACTGGGTCCCTCCAGTGACACAAGGGAATTATGGGAGCTACAGTTCAAGATGAGATTTGGATGGGGACATCCCCAAATCATATCAATGTTGTTGGAAATATCAGCAAGTATCTTAGAGGAGAGCTCAGAGAAATACTATATATCTTGGCAGAAGTCAAGAGAATGGCCATTCATTCCAAGTTAGATCAGCTGACTGTAAGCCTCCATTGGTGGCAATCAAATGAGAGGTTCCCATTCTCAGATAGAGCAGATCTTTGATACTATAGATATCCATCACCAAAAGTAAGTGAATGTCTTGGAATAAGATCTTCACTTTTGTTAGTCTTGATACCCATCAACAAGAGCCATGTGGGATCCTGTGAATACTGAGTGCTTCAGGCCAATACACCTACTCTTCTCTCCCCTCCAACATTCATGGCTCACTGTCACTCTTTGTCTTGGAAATATGAAGTATAATCTCATTATGGCATTTAAATCTGTCCCTGTCATTCACCAAAAGGACCTCAATTCTCCCTTTCACCTAGGATTCCAATTCCCATAGGACTCTGTACATAGAATTTATTGATTTCATATACTATCTCATGTCAACTAATAAAATGCTTACACTGAACCATCTGTAAATTAGAATCAGTCATCAGCAAAATTTGTTACACCTTGCAGCTCTTCTTTGAACAATACGTTTCTTTTTTTCATTCTAAACCCAGGTTCTGTTTTGAGGAGACTATTTCAATGAAAAAGTGTTAGTGTATTGTTTTCTCCATACCTCTTGTTTTATAGAAACTGGAGGTGGAATAATTTTCCTCCTTGTTCTCATTGTCTGTTCCAAATTGCTCTTTTTCCCTCTACTGGAAAAAGTCAATCAGCGTGAAATCAGACTCTACCACCAACTGTTCCTGCTTGTTTTCATTATCTGCTAATCCTTGGGCCACTCTCCCTCATGTTCTGGAAAATTTAGCTCCCACTACAGTTATACTGTATTCAACACGACCTTTGCTATAAATCTTGGTGATTTCAATGCCCGCCTGAGTTATTTTCCTATTACCATGGCTTCTCAGTTCTTTGATGTTACATCTTCCACTTGTTAGGTCTCCAACCTCATCTCAGACATTTCCATGCAAAATCGTATTCTAGATGTCATTAGCAATTGCAGATACCACATTATTCAGCCATCATATACCATTCTTCTAATTTTATTCATTGAATATACTTTAAAGCTTATTGGATGCTGCAAAGTATTGATTCCACTAATGTCCCTTTCCCTCCTTCTGGCCTTGTTTCTTTGCTTACAGTTTTGACCCATGTTCATTCAATCATTATACTACATACAGGCATTTCCCCCCCTTTCATGCTTTTCTGTACTCATGTTTGTAAATCACAAGACTGGACAAATCAAATCTCTACTACATGACACCTGCATCCACAGAAAAACATGGATAAAGGTAAACACAAGACCGTTGTTACAATTCTCAAATTAAATTTATGATCAGTTACCTCAAGTGGTCCCTACCTGACCAACGTCAATAGGCAATTGTACAATATTTCCCTAGTCTTCATTCTCTTACATGATCCTACCAGTGCTGCTTCTTTCCTATAACCTACACCTTGGTCTTTACCTTTATTTTCAAAATATGATGTGAGGGAAAAGAAGCAACCACAAGAGAAAATCTAAAATCTCCTACTCCTACTACCTTCCTATACTACCCACTTACCTGTACATAAATCTAAATACTCTGCCTTTTCTGTGTCAAAATGAATAAACAATCTATCCTCCTTACAAAGGGAACTCCTCCATTTGACACTACACCTCATCCCTTCTCCCCCAAGTGAGAACATAGGAATATTTCTTTAGCAATCTTACTGCCTTGTTCTTACAAGATTAGTTTCCTCTCTACCGGATCACACCCAGCAGCATAAAGACCAGGTGTTATTCTCCCAGCACAAACAAGCCTTTTTTTTTTTTTTTTGAGACGGAGTCTCGCTCTGTCGCCCAGGCCGGACTGCGGACTGCAGTGGCGCAATCTCGGCTCACTGCAAGCTCCGCTTCCCGGGTTCACGCCATTCTCCTGCCTCAGCCTCCCGAGTAGCTGGGACTACAGGCGCCCGCCACCGCGCCCGGCTAATTTTTTTGTATTTTTAGTAGAGACAACAAGCCTTTTTAAAACCAATTTTCATGCCAGTTTTTCCTTCTGTTTACTATAAAACTTATTAAAAGAGCTTTTAAAAATTGATCTCTATAATTCATCTCCTTGCATTCTTTTTTTCAACCCACCCCTTTCAGTCTATTGTCAGCTGAATTTCACTACAACTGCTATTATCAAGGTCACCATTGATCTCCAAATTGCTATATTCAAAGACCAATTTTTTCTGTCCTCATTTCATTTAACCTTTAATAAATCTTTGGTAAAGTTGACTATGTTCTTATACTTGAAGCACCTTGTCTTCTAGAACATAGCTTTTTAATTTCTACCTCTCTGAGCACTCAGTACACTTTGCTGGCTTTTCTATAACTATTTGTAAAAATACCCCCTAGTATTAACTTTTGCTTATTTTTTTTAAATACCTATACTTCCCTCCTTGGTGATTTCATTAAATCTCCTTTCTTCAAAGAACTTTTACAGGCTGGTATCTGCAGTATGTATTTTCCTAACACTGACATCTTTATTAAATTCAAATTCTTATATTCATATGCCTATTCAGTATTTCAGAGTGATCTAATTCAGTATGTACAAAATAGAACTACTATTATTTACCCTAAATGTGTTGTTCTTGCAATTTTCCCGTACTAATAAATGAACATTTAAAAACAAAATCCATATTTGATTATAGTCATATCTGATCATTATTAATACTTTCTTTGTTACTTTCTTTGTCCAACTACTGCTATCTCTAGACTAGCTTATTGCAAGAGCTTCCTAACTCTTTTTCCAAAAATTGAGACTGGGTCTTGCCCTGTTGCCCAGGCTGTAGCACAGTGGCATGATTATAGCTCACTGAAACCTTGACCTTCTGGGCTCAAGCAATCCTCCCACCTCAGCCTCCTGAATAGCTGGGACTACAGGCATGTGATAGCACACTCGGCTAATTTGTAAAATTTTAGTGGTGATGGGGTCTATCTATGTTGCTCAGGTTAGTCTCAAACTCCTGGCCTCAAGTGATATTCCTACTGTGGCCTCCCAAAGTGCTGGGATTACAGGCATGAGCCACTGTGCCAGGCCCATCTCTTAAATTACTGATGACTTTGCCTTCCTTACATATGTTTTCTGCAGAGGAACCAGAATGATTCTGTTAAATGCGAAACATATCTTGTGATTCATTTATTCAAAACTCTTAAATGTTTTCTCATCTCCCTTGGTAAAAGTCAGAGCTCTTATAATTGTCAAAGCAAAACTGACACCAAAGTTAAACTGGCAAGGAAGACTTCATTCAAAGCTATTGCAATAGAGGAGAGAGCCTGAACTCAATTCCAAGGAATTAAAGGTAAGAAGGTTTTTAAGCACTGTGGTTAGCTCATGGAAAATGTGCTAGAGAATGTTAAGCTATCTGTATTTGCTAATGGTCATCATTCAGGGAAATAGTAAGTTTCTCATATCTTCACGACAGCAGGTAGTTTTGCAACTTGGAACAAAACAATCACCAATGTTACGCTTCTACAACTCCTACAAAATTGGGCTATAGGAATGTTATTTTCCTTGATGGTTGTATTTCAAAATAATAGCTCACAAGTCCTTGAAGAAGACATTCCTGGTTATTTAAAATGGCAAGAAGCTCTATAAAAGGATTTTCACCTCAAAGGGCAGAGAAAGGATTTATAATTACAAGTTTCCTAAGTAAATAATCTAAGAAAAGAGAGCTCAAGAGCCTGAAAATTAGGAAGAAGGCAGTCTAAATTTAAATCAAGTGGAAAAAAAGAAACTTTAAGACTGTTTTAGTCACAATGATTTACAAAGCACGCGATTATAGTTTTTCACCTTACCTGTCTCATCTAATGTCTAACTGAACATTCTTTTACTCATTGTGCCTTACTGTTCCTTGAATACACCAAATGCATACTTCCCTAGGGTTTTTGTACTTACTGTTCCCTCTATCTGAAATGCTCATGGTCGAATATTTCCATAGATTGCATTTGTCTTTCTTTTGGTTTTTCCTTAGATGTTATCTTCTCAGTGAGATCCTCTCAAGTCAGTGCTATCTGAAATTGCATCCCTGACTTTTCCTAGTTCATTTACTTTTTATATTTTGCTCTTTATCACTGAATGTGCTACATATTCTAATTGTTTTCCTTTCTTTATATTTTTTATTTTTTATAATTTTTAAGTTAATAGTGTTTAACTTTGATAATGTTAGAAGTATCTGCCTGTGTTGTTCATTACTATGTTGTCAGTGACTCTCACATCTGGGAATGTAATAGATATTTGATGAAAAAATGAATGAATGTGAAGAAGACAGACCTTGAGTTGAGATCTCTAGTTTAGGGTTCTAATCTTGTCAATTACTTGAATTTAAAAAACTTGCATAATTTACTAATTTTCTTTATTCATTTAAAATAAGAAGCATGACCTACAGAATCTCAAGTGACCTACTTATTCTTTTAACAATTTGTAGCACTTAGTACCAAGATATCTTTTTATCATTTCACATATTTTAGCTTTTATTCTTCATCCTGTGTGTTGTTACTGTTATAGTCACTATATTATAAATGAGAAACTTGAGATATAACAATATGTGATTGAAGTCATATAACTAGTAAAAATGAGAAACTTGATTTGATACTACACTGTCAAGCTCCAAAGTATATGCTAAGTGATGATTTTATGCGACTATACGGTTACATACTTTGATTTTTTTCTGAGTTAAATACTGTACTTTATTTCTTTTTACTATTAATATGAACATCAGTAGGTATTCACTTAAAGTATCTACTATGAATATATAATGTGTGGGTTTACACATATTTGTATATACATATATACACATATAAATTTATGTATACAGTTACCTATATATGTATACATTTGCTTTATATATACATTTACCTACATACATGTATATGTATATATATAGTAAATGTACATATATAAAATATGTGTAAATTATATATATATATAAAGTAAATGTACATAGTCAAGTTGAATCCTACATTGAGTTTTGGAGAGTATAAAGTTATCTTAGAGTTTATCAATCCGAGAGATAAGTCAGCTGACTTTTCAAAATTCTACTCTGACAATCATTGGCTGCAGGATAAGCAAAGGAAAGGTAAAATCTCATGCACTTTGAAACCTCTGTGCATCAGTCTCATGAGTCTGAAACAACTCTAGTGGCTCCACGGATGTCTTCTGATAATGGTATGCTGCCATTCCTTAGAAGCTGAGGAATTGCCCAGAAATGCTAAAAGGAATCCATTGGAATAGATTTCTGTTGGAGATATCCAAATGAAAAAGTTCTGTTACTGTTTTTATTCAGAAGTCTCTATATACTATAGCATTTAGCATCCATATACTATAATTATGGTATCTCTGTGTCATAGTGAGATCCTGGGAGAGGTTTTTATTATATTTTTATTATATGTCTCTGCTTCCACAGTATTGCTCATCTTTGAAAACTAGACTTAATATTTCTAAAGACAGCATTTTACACTTTCAAAAATTGTTTTTGCCACAGTTTGTGAAGTGAAAAACAGGAAGTAGCATGTGACACTGAATAACTTAAAATCTGCTTTTGTCTCCTTAATACAAAGAGAAATGTCTATCAAATTTCAATTTTAGAGTTTACTTGCACTACTTTCTCAACCAATTTCACAGACAAGCAATTTTCCAGTGATGTCCCAAGTGGAAAAGTAAAATACTTTACCTTTTTTTTTTTGACAACTGGATAAAATCAGCTATCAGTGGCTTATCCATGATTATTCCTAATTTTTTTCTGAATTTCCAGCTATATCCAGTAAAAACTACTTATACTTCCAACAATAAAGTACTACTGAGTGATTTGATCATTTGTGCCCTGTCTTCCCTAGAATTTCATTAAGTGGTTGAAGTTATTTTCCCACCATCGTGCAACGGAGTTAACTTTTCTTAAATAATATGGCACATTTACCTTTGTTTTCTTTGTAAAAATAGATATTTGACGACATAAGGTCTAGTATATCCTCACATATATCAATTCCAGAGGTCATGAATAACTAAAACTATAGATATTAATAAGTAAACCAAACAATAAAAATCAAATACATAATTATAGACTACAAAAAATGGGTCGAGTAAACAAATATAATTATTTTATTAGCTATAGAGTGAAACCACATCTAATTTTAAAAACATTTATCTAATTTGCATACAATTTTCTCAATTCCAATGTCTGGCAAACTATTTTTTTTGTACATAATTATATTAACAATTGCAACACATGCATAACATTGTAAATTGACTTTTAGAGCGATTTTAGGTTTACAGAAAAATTAAACAGAAAGTGTAGAGTTTTAATATACTCTTTCCTGCCCATTTTTTCTTATTATTAACATTTTGAAGGGGTGTGGTAAACTTGCTAAAATTGATGAACCAATGTTGATACATATTATTGACATCAAGTCTATAGCTTAATTAGCATCCGTCTCTGTGACATACAGTGTTAGGCATAGTGTTATGAATTTGCCATTGTCGTATCATACAGAATAGTTTCACCACACTGAAAGTGCTTTGCATTCCACCTGTTCAACCATTCTTCTGTCTCCCTTAACCCCTGGCAACCACTGATCTTTTTACTGTTGTCATAGTTGCACCTATTAATGTATCACATTTTCATTAATGACTTTTACATTCTTTACATGCCTACAAATAAGTTGATCAAGGGAATTATTGATATCCTAAGGCTTTGATTTAAAGGCTGATTGTGACCCAGACTAAAATGTTGTCTAGTCAGAAAATACGATTCATTTGTTTCCTTTTTCCCCTTCATGACTGGAATCTTGGCCATAGGATACGTGTCTTGGTGAAAATTCCATGCAGTAGAAAGTAAAATAAAGATATGAAAACTTACTTGAGAAAAAACTAGGAAGTAAGAAACTATTTCCAGGAGACAGAAAACCAGCAGTGATTCAAGTCCTTTTGGAAGCCTGTCTAGTGAAACAAGATAGCAATGTGATGACTAAGAAAGCAAAACCATGGATGAATAAAAGAGGAAACAAGAAACGCATGTTTTTAAATCCAAAACACCAAAAGGAGGATTTTATCTGTAGACCAAATGAAAAAGGATGAGATGTACTGAATCATTTGTCTCTTACATGAAGAACTCATCTGTTTAGAGATACAGCGAATTGAATAAAAAACACTGATGGCACAGCTTCAAGATGGCTGACTAGATGCAGCTGGAAAGTGCCTCTCGTATGGGGAGAGACTGAGATTTCTACTAAATCAACATAATTTGAAGAGATCTTCAGAACGAAAAGACCAAATGTAAATGAAAAAAAGACACTGATTTCTAGGCAGAAGGGCAAGGATTCTGATAACCCCGCATGGGGTTCCTGAATGCTAGGGCTGGCTCTTGGCCCCAAATGGCTCCTGGGGGAGGGGTGAGTGAAGAGACTGCCACTCTTGCCATAGACCTCTGGCATCCTAGCTCTAGGGGACCCAACAACCTCCATGGACGTTTGAGCCGGCAGAAGGAATCTCCTCTGAGATCAGACAGAGAGAGAGAGAGAGAGGGAGAGAGCTGAAGCAGGCACAAAGCCAGGTATATTTGTGTAAAAGACAGCTCTAGTAGAGCCCAGCCATAAATGCCCATCCCCCAGGGCTCCCCATCTCCCTATTAGAGGCTACTAGCCCCAGTTAATCCCCAGACCAGTAGAAAGTAGGGCCAACTTACCCCTGGGATGGGGGCACATCTGTCCTGCAGGACCACCTCCCTGCCAGGTCCTCCAAGGGCTCCTATCTGGCTGCCCAAAGGAAATATGTACATAGTGCAAAGTTTTCTGCCCAGCCTGACTGCATTGCTCCACCAGAGTGCATTTGAGCAGCCTGCTAACCTTTTGGATATCCCAGCAACCAGAATCCAACACTGAGGAGGGAGCTACAAGCAATTCCTAGCATACCAGGGCTACAGCCCATGGGTCAGGAGTGCTGAACCAGGACCTGTGTCTGGCAATTGAGTAAGAGGAGCCCACACTGTCAGAAAACTGGAAGGGGTAAGTTGCACAGGTGTGTGGGCTGGTGTGGCATGCCCCCCTTCACAGGGCTGGTACCTGCCAGGCCTCTGTCTGAGGGAGCTCTACAGCCCACAACACCTAACAACAACAATAAATTGAGGACATAGTGCCAGGGATTGGAGATGCCCCCCTCCAAGGCCCAGAAGTGGACCTGGTGAGGGGTTACCTCTCTCTCACTCTCACTGCAGAGCACAGCTGCCAACAGGAGTATACAAAAAGAAGCCATACAGCTACCAGATCACAGCCCAAACTAAAACACACACACACAGACACACACACACACACACACACACTTGCTAATACTCCTCTGTGCTGAATTAAGGGCAAGAATTAAACAATAAATAAAGACCCTATACAGAGTCTTAGCCCTCTGAATACTTTCATAAACAAAGCCAACTGAGGACACTAAATTTATACCATAGTTAAAGGGACACCAACACTTCCAGTTGAGAAAGAATCAGCTTAAGAAAGCCAGATTGTAACTTAACTCTAAACAAGCCCACTAGCTTCCCAGCAATGATTCTTAACCAGTCTGAAATGTCTAAAATTGCATATATGGAATTCAGAATCTGGTTGGCAAGAGAGCTCACCAAGATTCAGGAGAAACCTGAAATTCAATGCAAGGAAGCCAAGCAATCCAGTAAAACAATTCAAGAGCTGAAGGATGAAATAACCATTTTAAGAAAACCCCAACAATTGGAAGTATGAACAGCAGAATAGATGACGCTGAGGAAAGAATCTCAGAGCTCAAAAATCAGCTCTTTAAATCAACTCAGTCAGGCAAAAATAAAGAAAAAAGAACTAACAAAAATGAACAAAATCTTTAGGAAATATGGGATTATGTAAAGAGACCAAATTGATAACTCATTGGCATTCCTGACAGAGAAGGACAGAGAATAAGCAACATGGAAAGTATATTTGAGAATACAGTCCATCAAAATTTCTCTAGACTCACTAGAGAGGTTGACATGCAAATCCAAGAAATAGAGAACTCCAGCTGGATACAATTCCAGATAACCATCCCTGAGGCACATAGGCATCAGATTCATAAAGGTCAACACAAAGGAAAAATATCATAAAAGTAGCTAGAGAAAAGGGGCAGGTCACTTGTAGAAGGGACCCCCTCAGGCTAGCAGTAGACCTCTCAACAGAAATCCTACAAGCCAGAAGAGATTGGGGGCTAATTTTCAGCACCCTTAAAGAAAAGAAATTCCAACAAAGAAATTCATGTCCCAACAAACTAAGCTTCATAAGTGATGAAAAAATACAATTCTTTTCAGACAAGCAAATGCTGAATTGAACACATTTCTACTAGACTGGCCTTACAAGAGGTATTTAAGGGAGGGCTAAAAGTGGAATCAAAAGAATGACACCTGCTACCACAAAAACACATGTAAGCACATAGCCCAGAGGCACTATAAAGCACCTATCCAATCAAGTCTACATAACAACCAGCTAATAACACAATGATGGCTAGTTTCATACATATCAATTTTAGTCATGAATGTAAATGAGCTAAACACCCCACTTAAAAGACACAGAGTGGCAAGTGGATAAAAAGACAAGACCCAACCATCTATTCTTTGCAAGACACCCATCCTATGTGCAATGACACTTAGAGGCTTAAAGTTAAAGGATGAAGAAAGATCTACCATGTAAAAAAAGAGCAGGAGTCACTATTCTTATATCAGATAAAACAGACTTTAACCCATTAAAAATTAAGAAGAATAAAGGCCATTACATAATGATAAAGGGCACAATCCAACAAGAAATTTTAACTATCCTAAATATGTACATGCCCAATATTGCAGAACTCAGATTTATAAAACAAATTCTTCTTGGTCTACAAAAAACTTAAACAGCCACAGAATAATATTGGGAAGCTTCAACACCTCACTGATGGTTTTATGCAGATCACTGAGGCAGAAAACTAACAAAGAAACTCTGGACTTCAACTCGACTGACTTGACCAATTGGACTTAATAGACATCTACAGACAATCCACCTAACAATCATGGAATACACATTATTCTCATCTGCACATGGAACTTTCTAAGATCAACCACATGCTCAGTCATAAACCAAGACTCAATAAATTCAAAAAAATTGAAATCATACCAAGCACACTTTCAGACCACAGTGTAATAAAACTAGAAATCAATATCAAGATCTCTCAAAACTATCTAAACACACTGGAATTGTGTTGGAATCAAACCACTTACTCCTGAGTGAACATTAGGTGAATAACTCCTGAGTGAACATTAAACTTAAGGCAGATATTGTTTTAAATGGCCATACTGCCAAAGCAATTTACACATTCAACATTACACCTGTCAAACTACCTATGTTATTCTTTTCAGAATTATAAAAAAACTATTCTAAAATTCATATGAAAACAAAAGAGAACCTGAATAGTCAAAGCAATCCTAGTTAAAAGGAACAAAGCTGGAGGCATCATACTACCTGACTTCAAACTGTACTATAAAGCTATCATAGCCAAAAGAGCATGGTAATGGTACGAGAATAGACAAATAGAGCAATTGAACAGAATAGAAAATTCAGAAATAAAGCCATACACCTACAATTATCTGATCTTCGACAAGACTGACAAAAACAAGCTACAGGGAATAACTGGCTAGCCATTGCCAAAGACTGAAGCTGGACTCCTATCTTTTGCCATATACAAAAATTAACTCACAATGTACCAAATATTTAAATGTATTACCTAAAACTATAAAAATACTAAAATACAACCTAAGAAATACTCTTCTCAACATCTGCCTTGGCAAAGAATTTTTGGCTAAGTCCCCATAAGTAATTGCAACAAAAACAAAAATAAACAAGTGAGACCTAGTTAAACCAAAGATCTTCTACACAGCAAAAGCAACTATCAACAGAGTAAACAGACAACCTACAGAATGGGGGAAGATATTCATAAACTATGCATCCAAGAAAGATCGAATATCTAGAATATATAGGGAAGTGAAACAAATCAACAAGGGAAAATTAGTCTCATTGAAAAATGGACAAAGGATGTGAACAGACACCTCTTGAAAGAAAACATATAAGTGGCCAATGAACACGAACAAAAAAATGCTCAGCATCATTAATCATCAGAGAAATGCAAATCAAAACTGCAATGAGATACCATCTCACACCAGTCAGAATGGCTATTCCTAAAAAGTCAAAAAACAACAGATGCTGGTGGGGTTGTGAGGAAAAGGGAATGCTCATACACTGTTGGTGGGAGTGTAAATTAGTTCAGCCACTGTGGAAACCAGATTGGAACTTATAACAGAGTTTATCATATAACTTTAGGCATTAAAACAGAGCTACCATTCAACCCAGCAATCCCATTGCTGGGTATACACCTAAAGGAAAATAAATCACTCTACCAAAAGGATACATGTACTCATATGTTCATCAATGCACTATTCACAATAGCAAAGACATGGAATCAACCTAAATTCTCATCAACCTTGAAATGGATAAAGAAAATGTGGTACATATGCACCATGGAATACAGTGCAGCCATAAAAATGAATGAAATCATGGCCTTTGCAGCAACATGAATGCAGTTGGGGGCCATAATCCTTAGCAAATTTATTCAGGAACAGAATACCAAATACCACTCTCACTTATAAGTGGGAGCTAAACATTGAACACACATGGACATAAACATGGGAACAACAGACATGCAGACCACTAGAGAGGGTATGTAGAAAGAGGAAAGTGGGTTGAGAAACTACCTATCAGACACTTTTCTCACTACCTGGGTGATGAGATCTGCCATGGTTAATATTGTGTCAACTTGATTGCATTGAAGGATGCCAAGTATTGTTTCTGGGTGTTTCTGTAGGGGTGTTGCCCAAGGAGATTAACATTTGAGTCAGTGGACTGGAAGAGGAAGACCTGCCATCGGTGTGGGTGGGACACACCCAATCCACTGCCAGTGTGGCTAGAAAAAGCAGGCAGAAGAAAGTGGAATAAGCTGGCTTGCTGAGTCTCCTGGTTTTCGTATTTCTCCCATGTTGAATGCATCCTGCCATTGAACATCAAACTCCAAGTTATTTGGCTTTAGGACACTTGGACTTATGCCAGTGGTTTGCCAGGGGCTCTTGGGCCTTTGGCCACAGACCGAAGGCTGCACTGTCAGTTTCCTTAATTTTGAGGCTCTTGGACTCGGAATGAGCCGTTACTGCCTTCCTTCCTCCTCATCTTGCAGACAGCCTATCGTGTGACTTCACCTTGTGATTGTGTGAGTCAATTCTCCTTAATAAATTCCCTGTCATGTATACATGTATCCTATTAATTCTGTTCCTCTGAAGAACCCTGACTAATACAGGATTCATAACCCAAACGTCAGCATCATGCAATATTCTTATGTAACAAACTTGCACTTGTACTCTCATATCTAAAATAAATTTTTAATTGATAATTTTGTTTTGTTTGCTATATTATGTTTTTCTCTTAAGTAGAAATCTTATTGTGTAAAAAATTAAATGTTAAGTCAGTAGAGAAATAAATTATTAGAGGCTCTAAAATTGTGCAGGAAAAGTGGATTACATTTGTATGATAGTAAAAATATTAAATAAAATAATGTGAATTGGAAACCTACTAATTTTAAACATTTTTAGACTGTATATAAATAAATTCAAATATATTTCAAAAATTATAGTCTACTGTAAATTTGAAAAGTTTGTGAATTTCAATTTTTCACACTTTTATATTAATAATTATATAACAGTTTACTTATATATTCTATATTAAACTTTAAAAATTGACAAATAATGAAAATTATCAATTGAATATATGGCCCCAAATTATATTACCTTGTGTTAAAATGGGAAAAGATATTGACAATGCAATGATACTTTCTTGATTTACAGCTACATAGAATAATATGAATTAATCCTATCAAGACAATGTTGAGCAAAAAGAGAAAATAAGTGATGATATTTTTAAAAGGTAAAATTATGACTCATGCAAACATAAAATGAATATATGCCAAAGATTTATTTAACTCCACAACTAATGAATGAGCTAGCAGTTTGTTAAAAGAAGGATTTAGAGTACTAAACATTTGGAAATATTGAACAGATACAAAACTTCTTAATTTGAAAGGAAGGATTTCTGGAAGAAATCAAGTTTTTCCTCAGCAGACAAATTATTTGAATATTTATGAATTAAGGTCAATTTTATTGCTAGAAGTTATTTATCATTTACAAAATTGCAAAACTCTTAAAAACAGTGGAAGACTAAGATAACCTGGGAGGTTGCAATAGAAAGAACATTCAATAATCTTCTTCTTTATTTTCCCATTTTACTTATTCCCATTTTTTTTTCTGGACAGGCAAAACAAGGTTGATTAATCTCTTTTATTTTGGTAAGAGTATGACTTAGCATATAGAATTTTTAAAGTTTATTTTACAAATCCAGGGCCATGCAGCATTGAACAATTGAGCAATTCCTAGAGCCAAAAAATTGATACCCAATGTTATGACCTACAAAAACTGAGATAATAAATGGGTATTGTTTAACCCACTAATCTGACATAATTTGATATACACAATAAATAATATGCATAGACATCTGTATTTGTATGAAATTCCATGTGTAAGTCTTATGCACATTCCTATTAAAAATTAGCCTAAAGATGTTAGATTAAATGTAATTATTGTGGCAAAGTAAAAATTTTAAACAATAAATGAAATTTTGACTAACAATACTATTCTGAAATTTCCCAATATCATCACATAAAACACTACAGTTTCCCTGATCAATATAGGAATATTTGACAAAACTATTTCATAAGAGTCTTGATTATTTTTTCCTGAGGTTAAAAATAAATGATGAAGAAAGTTAAGGGCATTAGTAGATCTCCAGGGACAATCCATAAAACATACAATTTCTAAAATATTACTACTGGTGACATTTTATCTACAAAATTTAACCTAGGAAGACTATCTATTGTGACTAAATAACTGTATCCATGAAACTTTGGTAATAAAAACACATCAAACATAGGCAATTATTTCTGTTATTTCTTTTTAAAAAGTGAAAACCTAATGTTTGTAATTTCCCAAGGCACTTATGAAAATTTAAAGATAATTTTAGGTATAAAGAAAAGATATCCTGAAAGTTGTTTTTTCTTTTTTTCCTTCCTTTTTATAAATTTTGAATCTGATTTTTAAAAGGCTATGAAAACCTCCAAAAAAGTTGTGAGAAGAGACTGAACACTTAAGGACATAGGTGCCTGGAACACAGCACTCAGTTACCTATTTAATCAAAACTACAATGAAATATTTAAAAACAAATATGTAAAATATAATCACAGTAAAAACCTCAGCTCTTTCTTTGACAGGAAAACTTTATTCTTTGTATACTTTTTCTTAAATTATCAAGGACATAGTAAAATCAACATAAAAAACGTAAGACTATTCTGGTAAAATATAGAATCTCTACTATCTAGAGAGGTTAAATGTAAAGTGAAGAATGATTTTCAGTTATAGATGAGGCCATTTATCAGAAGACTAAGGAAGTAGAGTGAACATTTGTATGATTTTAAAACATGCTATGGCTTCTTTTCAAAGGTCGTATTATAAATAATACAAGTAACTTCATGGTGTCCTTCATTATGCTCTTTCATATTCTGAAACAAATTGATACTTTATTTAAAAATAGTAGTTTTCTCTCAGGGGTATATGAGGTCAAAACCAAAAGTTGTTATGTTAATATGTAAGTCATCCATCTTTACTATCTTCAAATAAATCAATGAGTATTTCTAAACCTCTTTCTTTTTTCTAATTGGTAAACATTGATTGCTGAAATACACATAAACAAAAACTCTTCCATATCCATAATAAAAAGCAAGAGTGTAGAGGAGCCTGAATACCACAATTATTGAGAACCAATCACTTAGGACAAGACTAATCTTTTTCCTTGCTACATTTATTTAAAAAAAACAAAATTCATGTACAGTTATGTTTCTCTGACACTACTGCTCATTCTCAATATCTCAAGAGTTCATAAGGCTTAATCAACATAACGAACTTTATTTCACAGAGATACTGGTGGGACAAGGTAATTGAGAATTTTCTCTCTTATTCAAACGTTTTAGCAAATTAGCAAAGTTCATAAACCTACATGAGACAGCCCTGCACATCCCTTTTACACCTTCTTAAAGTGATAAAACAAATGTATTTATTAAGAAGACCCAAAAATATAAAAGTATAGCCTCTCTGTAGTGTATAAAAGTAAGAATCATATGCAACTAAATATAATTTATGCTTATTAATCAATATTTCAGTGTTGTCTTTCACTTAAAATTTATTTAGGTATCAATGATGACCATTATGTAACTAAACTCAATATCAAACATAAGATTTTTAACTTACTTAAAGATCTTGGAAATTATTTCCAACTGATAAATTTCAAAAAATATTTTTGAAAAACAATTTTGTCAGAACAATGATTCAATTGCATTGAACAGAAAATTATATGTTTTTAATTTTCTTAAAAAACATGTAGGAGAAATGATAGTTTATTTGATTAGTAGACCCATATGTACTAGTCAGCTTGCACTCCCATAACAAAATACTATGGTCTGTTTGGGTTAAGCAAGATAAATTAATTTTTACAGAGTTCTGGAGGCTGGGAAGTCTAAGTTCCAGGTGATTACTGTTTCAGCTTCTAGTGAGTACTCGCTTCCTGGGTTCCAGAAGACCACCTTTCTGAGGTGTGTTTACCTGGCCTTTCCTCAATATGTATCTTCAGAAAATGGGAAAGAGAGATTCATCTTAGGTATCACACTTTCAATAAAGACATTAATCCCATCTTGAGGGTCCCACCTTCTAGACCTCATTTAACCCTAATTATCTTCCAAAGACTCCATCTCCAAATGCAGTCACATTGGAGGTTAGGGTTCCAACATATGAATTTCGGGAAGACACATACATTCAGCCTTAAGGTGTTATAGGTTAATACGAAAAATCAAAATGAAATATAAATTTAACACATGCCAAAATCTATGCAACTAATTAATTAATGAGGGAATCAGTCAGATATTACTAGTTCAAAAAAGTCAAAGCACCACATGTTATAAGCCTATAATGAGTTTTGAAATTAATCTATAAAATATATAAAACTGGCTTCTTCCACAACAGGGTTGGGGTGAAAGGAAGGGAAATTTGGAAAGGTGTACCCTGGACACTCAGTTTTTTTTGTTTGTTTGTTTTATTTATCATCATTTTAAAATCTATTACAATTACTCCTGACAGAGAAAAGAGCCAAAATATCATTTACAATTCAAATACAATTTTTAATGAAATCTAAAACGATGATAGAAATTATGCTTTTAGAAGTAAGCATATTAACTCTTCATAATAGGGTGAAGTGACTGGAAGTCTGAGGGCCCCTCTGAAGTGTTAACAATATTTTACTTCCTGATTTAGGTATAAATTATATGGGTATATTAAGTTTATACAAATTCGTTAATGTGTATTTTTCAATATGTACATATTCAATAAAATATTTTTAAAAATTATTTGCTAAATTATATGCTATTTACAATAAACTCACTCTAAATATAAAGACTCAAATAGATTAAAAGTAAGAAGATGGATTGCTGGGCACAGTGGCTCACACCTGTATCCCAGCACTTGGGAGGCTGAGGTGGGAGGATTGCTTGACTTCAGGAGTTCAAGGCCATCCTGGGTAACATAGTGAGACCCCATCTCATTAAAAAAATAAAGAGAGAGAGAGATGGAGAAAGATATACCTGGCTAACACTAATCAGGGGTAAGATAAAGTACTTCTATTAACTTCAGACAAAGCATATTTTAGAGCCAGGAAAATTATCAGTTGGTAAAGAAAATGGAGTGAGACCAGAGAAGTCTCAGTAGAAGCTGTAGCATATTATGTCAGTGTCAAATTATATTTTAACCGGAGAAAACCATGGTTACCTGAGCAAAATTAATCAGTCAAGTGGAGAACAGCAATTTTAGAGATATGGAAAGCAAATGGGAAAATAATTATTAATGAGACAATAACAATAATAATAGTCATGGCTCCCTTCTTTTGTGTTTGCCTATGCTAAAGATTTTGGTTTATTAAAAGCTGTTCTCAAAACTGACTCTGGTCTTGTATCTTCCACTGCTTTGTCATCCACTCTCCAAATATTGACTAATTCTGACAGCCTCTCTCAGGAGCTTGTTAAGCTAATTTTATTAGCAGTAAGTTCATGTCTTGCAGCCTAATATCTGTGTTTTATTTCAAGGAAGCCTCTTTTCTGCATAGCATTCTCTATATTTTCTTCTTTACCTCAATCTTTTAATGATTCCCTAATTGATGTTTTCTATATACATTCTCAGATTGTTACTCACTTGTACTAACTTTTTGAGGATTTTTCTGAACCTTGGATTCACTTCTACATAGACAGCCATTAGCCTCAAGGCTGTATGTAAGTTTGCTCCCATGTTTAGTTATCTGGCCTTGATGTCATCTCTACGTCTAATCTTAGAATTCCTTTGGCTCAGGTTCAGTTGTAACAACATGCTAAGCTGCAGGAAAAGTTAGGTTCTAATTGAGGAATATCTTCATTTATCCAGATTCACTCTGGTATTCTGCTTCCATGACCAATAATCCATCCAAAAATTATATCAGAGACTTAAGTGTGAAGTCTCAGTTTAAGATAAACACTTTCATCATTTTATACTCATATGTCCACAATTCTACTGTTAAATGTATACAATGAAATAACACTGGAAATAACTTTAGAACTTTGAATTTCTCAGATCTAATTTTTCTATAGACCTTGATAATAACTGCTGAATCACTCACCTGAAATTACATCTGCGGTCCTAAGATTATTAGCTTTAGTAGAATTTAGTCTTTCTGTCTTTATTTTAACATTATGAGTACCTCCTATAATAGTCTTTATACAGAACTTTATAATTTATAACCCCTAGGAATTAGGAAGGGCATATATTAGTTTTATCAGTCATATTTTTGTTTTTGTAGATTAACCATGGCTTAAAAAATGGCTCGCAATATCATGAAACTTAATGTTACAGACAGAAGCTTAATTCAGATCTTCAGATACTGTTTTCTATTGATTAGTGATTAATATAACAATCTCCTAAAACACACTTTGTATTATTCCATTTTCATGCTGCCGATAAAGACATACCTGAATCTGGGCAATTTATAAAATAAAAAGATTTAATTGACTTACAGTCCCAAGTGGTTGGAGAGGCCTCAGAATAATGGCTGAAGGTGAAAGGCACATCTCACATGGCGGCAGAAAAGTGAAGAAAACTTGTGCAGAGAAACCCCCTTTTTTAAACCATCAGATCTAGTGAGACGTATCTGCTATCATGAGAACAGAATGGGAGAGACCTGCTCCCATGATTCAGTTACCTCCCACCAGGTCCCTCCCACAACACATGAGAATTCAAGATGAGATTTGGGTGGAGACACAACAAAACCATATTATTCCACTGCTGGCCCCTCTGAAATCTCATGTCTTCACATTTCAAAACCAATCATACCTTCCCAACAGTCCCCCAAAGTCTTAACTCATTTCAGTATTAACTCAAAAGTCCACAACCCGAAGTCTCATCCAAGACAAGGCAAGCCCCTTCTGCCTATGGGCCTGTAAAATCTAAAGCAAGTTACTTATTTCCTAGATACAGTGGGGGTATAGGCATTGGGTAAATACAGCCATTACAAATGGGAGAAATTGGCCAAAACAAAGGGGCTGCAGGCCCCATGCAAGTCTGAAATCCAGCAGGGCAGTCAAATCTTAAAGCAACAAAATGATCTCCTTTGACCCCATGCCTCATATCCAGGTCATGCTGATGCCAGAGGTGGATTCCTTTGGTCTTGGGCAGCTCTGCCCCTGTGGCTTTGTGGGTACAGCCTCCCTCCTGGCTGCTTTCATGGGCTAATGTTGAGTGTCTGTGGCTTTTCTTAGATGCACGGTGCAAGCTGTCAGTGGGTCTCTCATTCTGGGGTATGGAGGACAGTGGCCCTCTTCTCACAGCTCCACTAGGCAGTGCCCCAGTAGAGACTCTGTGTGGGGGCTCCCATCCCACATTTCCCTTCTGTATGCCCTAGCAGAGGTTCTCCTTGAGGACCCCAGCCCTACAGCAAATTTCTGCTTGGGCATCCAGACATTTCCATACATCTCCTGAAATCCAGGTGGAGGTACCCAAACCCCAATTCTTGACTTCTGTGCACTTACAGGCTCAACATCATGTGGAAGCTGCCAAGGCTTGAGGCTTGCACCCTCTGAAGCTACGGCCCCGGCACGACTTTGGCCCCTTTCAGCCATGGCTGGAGTGCCTGGGACACAAGACACGAAGTCGCTAGGCTGCACACAGAACAGGAACCCTAGTCTTGGCATATGAAACCACTTTTTTCTCCTAGATCCCTGGAATTGTGATGGGAGGGGCTGCCTCCAAGGTCTCTGACATGCCCTTGAGACATTTTCCCCATTGTCTTGGTGATTAACATTAGGCTTCTCATTACTTATGCAAATTTCTGCAGCCAGCTTGAATTTCTTCTCAGAAAATGGGATTTTCTTTTTTATTGCAGTGTTAGGCCATAAATTTTCCAAACTTTTATGCTCTGCTTCACTTATAAAACTAAATGCCTTTTTGAATTTTTGGTAAAGACGGGGTTTCACTGTGTTAGCCAGGATGGTCTCGATCTCCTGACCTTGTGATCCGCCTGTCTTGGTCTCCCAAAGTACTGGGATTACAGGCGTGAGCCACCGTGCCCAGGCGTGGTGGTAGGCACCTGTAGTCCCAGCTGCTCAGGAGGCTGAGGCAGGAGAATGGTGTGAACATGGGAGGCTGAGCTTGCAGTGAGCCGAGATTGCGCCACTGCACTCCAGCCTGGGTGACAGAGCGAGACTCTGTCTCTAAAAAAAAAAAAAAAAAAAGCTAAATGCCTTTAACAGCACCCAAGTCACCTCTTGAATTCTTTGCTGCTTAGAAATTTCTTCCACCAGATGCCCTAAATCATCTCTCAAGTTCAAAGTTCCACAAATCTCTAGGGCATGGGCAATAGGCTGCCAGCCTCTTTGCTAAAACATAACAAGAGTCACATTTGCGCTAGTCGCCAAAAAGTCCCTCATCTCCATCTGACACCACCTCAGCCTAAATTTCATTTTCCATATCACTATCAGCATTTTGGTCAAAGCCATTCAACAAGTCTCTTAGGAGTTCCAAACTTTCTTGCTTTTTCCTGCTGTCTTCAGAGCCCTCCAAACTGTTCTAACCGCTGCCTGTTACCCAGTTCCAAAGTTGCTTCCACATTTTTGGGTATCTTTTCAGCAGTACCCCACTCTCCTGGTACCAATTAGTCCATTTTCATGCTGCTGATAAAGACATATACGAAACTGAGCAATTTACAAAAGAAAGAGGTTTAATTGACTTACAGTTTCACGTGGCTGGGGAGGCTTTACAATCATGGCAGAAGGTGAAAGGCATATCTCACATGGCAGCAGACAAGAGAAGAGAGCTTGTGCAGAGAAACTCCCATTTTAAAACCATTAGATCTCATGAGACTTATTTGCTATCATGAGAACAGCACAGGAAACTTGTGCCAACATGATTCAATTACCTTCCACCGGGTCACTCCCATAACATGTGGGAATTCAAGATGAGATTTGGGTGGGGACACAGCCAAACCATATCACACTCAATTGAGTTGGAGAGCAAGCAAGTTACCAATCACTAATCAATCATCAATCACGTATCCTTGATCAAAATAATGTGCCATAATTGAAAATTCACCAGTATGATGAATAAATATAAAACCAGACATGAAAAATTTCCTTCTTTGGAGTATCAGAAAAGGATCAAAGCAATGATACTTATTCTGAATCTTAAATGGAAATTCATGTTTTACATGACCAAGTTAAAAACAAAATCATTTCAGATTTTAGAGAGAATAACATGTACAACAGAATGGTAGAGAGACATGGGCTAAGATCACAGTATTCAAACAATTGATTTGTGAAGAAACAGTGAATATCTTTAATCAGATCCCTTTTGGTAGAAGATAACTTAGAGAACATTTAAAAAGACCCTGTAAATAAAAATGAGTTGTTAAAAAGATATTAAAAGAATGTTACAATGACTTGTTGGATAATTGAACCAACAAAGTGTTGTAAAGTATGGAGAAAAGCTGAAGTTGATTGTTTAATATTCATCAAGGTTTTAAGAACAAAGGAGATGGTTTATTTGACTGCAGATAACAATACCATCACTCAGAAAAGCAAATGAAAATAATATTGTAAAGAAAACCATGAGTTTGGAAGGGAGAAGTATAAATTAAAATTCTTCTGCTGGGTGCTGTGCTTCATACCTGTAATCCCAGCACTTTGGGAGGTGAAGGTGTGTGGTTTTCTTAAGCCTAGAACTTCAAGATCAGCCTGGGCAACACTGCGAAACCCCATCTCTACAAAAAATACAAAACTTAGCTGGGTGTTGTGGTGTGCACCTGTTGTTCCAGCTACTCTGGGGGCTGAGGTGAGAGGATTGCTTGAGCCTGATAGTTCGAGGCTATAGTGAGCCATGATCACACCACTGCACTCCAGCCTGCGTGACACAGCAAGACCCTGTCTCAGAAACAGAATAAAATGCAAATAATAAAAAAATAAGTAAAATAAATAAAATTTTTATTTGTTCCAGGTATTGCCATTATTAATTTATTCATTCATTCATTTTAAAAGTGTCTATCTAGCATTTATAATAAGCTAGGCACTCATTTTTGTTTTTTAATAAAGCAGACAAAATATAATTTAGTGGATGGGTGGATATCAAAAAATATATAAATTGCTGTAACTTGGAGCACTTTCTATGATGACAAACAATAGAGTGCTGAACGTCTCTGGGAAGGGAGAAACTGAAAATACAGATACAGGCCTTGGAAGAGGTTTCTGAACTAGGCATAACGATTAGATTACCAACATATAGTTGACCGAAAGTGAAAAACAATAAAAGAAACAGTGAAAAATTAGACAAAGCCATTTTGCTAATTATAAACCAAATTATCATGAACTGGCCACATTTTATATTCCAACAATACAGTAAAGAGATTCAGTCTACATTTATAAGTTTGAGAAGGTATTATGTCATAGTAGGGTTTATGGAAATGGGGCTATACAAAGAGAAAAATGAGTATCCCCAAGTTAGCAAGTAAATAAACATCATAAACAGCATAAAATGTTGTGCTTCCTTTTTCTCATTCATTCTTTATGGCATAAACCTAATTAAAACTTATATTCTTAACGTATAGTATAACTGTAAATGCCAATAATTTACTAGCATGTTTTTAACTGCATATTCTAGAAAGTAAAATTTTCATGTTTAAAATAAAATATTTAGTGAGTAGTTTTCTTACTAATGAGTAAAAATAATCACAGAATAATGTACTACTTGTATCTCTATTATTTTTGATAACATTAAACTCAATATCAGAGAAAAATAACATTGTGAAATGATCCTTTAAATAGTACACTAAAGAAAAAATTGTTAATCCAGATGAATTGAAATTGAATCTGAAATTCTAAATAGTGTAATTATAATAGCATTTTAATCCCATAAATGCTCAAGAAATTGTTCTTGGTGCTAAGTATACCAATTAGTTTATTCAGACAGCTGAATATGCTTCTTTCTGGGGTACCTCAGATGTTTCGATACAGACAGACATGCAATGCGAAATAAGCACATCATGAACATTGGGGTATCTATTCCCTCAAGCATTTATCCATTGAGTTCCAAAACATTCAATTACACTCTTTATTTTAAAATGTAGTTATCATTGCATAATGTAGTTCTGAGCAAAATAAATTAAGATGGCATGTGTCACATAAAATGCATTATCCGTGGAAAGTATTAATTAGTGTGTTTCTGAATATTACCTTTCCCAAATAAAAAATAATAGCACTTTTATTTAGAGATTTTGTTTCAGCAAACATTCAAAATTGCCAAGAAATTAATTTCAAATATATGTATTTTCTTCAAAATTTATGGTAGTGTGGAAAAATCGTTACCCAATTACTACTAATTAGTCAATGTTTTGGACTTCCTAGATTTATAATACCTCACCAAGAAATGAATTAAAAGTCTGAAAGAAAGAGCTTTAATTATATTAATCCAGGGGATGCAAGACACCATGACTGATCAAGGGAAGAATTTTGTTAGAAGAGATCATTGGTGCCCCTTGACTAATAGTACCTTGCATACATTGACATCAAGTGGGATTTAGAGGTGGATTAGAATGTGAATTAAATGAATTCTTAAAGCTTTTCAAAAGATACTTAAATTAAGATCAAGTTTTTAGAACTCATTTCTTGTTTTGTTTCCTTTTATTTATTTTTTTCCGGAAGTGGGGGAAAATGGTTGTTTTCAATAAAATTAATGTGGTAGCCCCCAAGCAAAATATGTTCGTATTTGAACCCTAGCCAGTATCCCATAGTGAACAGTTATTCTTCCCACATTTTAAAAGTTTTATGAATGAGAGGGGAGGGAACATGGAGTGCCCCTCCTATTAAAATACTAATTTAAAATAATATACTGATTTTCTTCTTCCTCCTCAGTCTGGGGTAAACAGCCAGTTGTGGCTCTATTGTCTAGGGTCTTGTCTAAAGATGCCATGTTCTTAGGTTTATGTTCTTTTTTTAGTGAAAAATATAATATATTTTAATTGCTGAAAGATGATCGTTCAGTGATAGCATTTTCTCATTCACCTCAATGACCTCTTACCAAGCTGCTTGTGATTGCCTTGATATGATGCTGACAGCTACACAGTTACACTTATTTTCTATTTTATTCTATATCCTATAGTAAGGGCATAACAGATCTCCTGATTTTCTCTAGCTCATGTTGTGTATCCTATATTAATGCTAGTATGTATGTATGTATGTATGTATGTATGTATGTATGTATCTATCTATCTATCGTCTATCCGTAAATGATGTGCTCATCTTGAAATAGTAAGAAAGGGTAAGGTTTAGTTCACCCTTCCATATAGGTTTAAGTATCCAGAGAATAAAGGAAGTATTTCTCCATGACTTACTTCTCTCTGTCCATTACCCTACCAGTCTTCAAACTGTTTTCCCCAGTTTGGTTAGATTATATGATGACCAATCTTATTAGCCCTTTTGGTTAATGGGTGCCTGAAATGCAAGGTGAGGTAGTCTTTGGGATGCACCTGTCTTCTTGCTCCCCATGCTCCCATTACCGCATTCTTCCCTGCCATTAATAGAAGCTATCCATAATTGGCCCCTTTTCTTTATTTAGCAACCAAGGAAACTGAATGAAAAGAGATGTGCATAATTAACAACCATACGTTTCTACATCTCTTGTCATTCTACATCTCTTGCCATTCCTAATACATATACAGTGTATGCACTTTTAAAACCATAAGTGAGAGTTAAGCTATGAGGATGCAAAGGCATAAGAATGATACAATGGACTTTGGAAACTTTCTGGAATTGGGGAAAAGCCTCCAGCTTTGTTCTTTTGCTTAGGATTGTCTTGGCTATGCAGGTTCTTTTTAGGTTTCATATGAAATTTAAAGGGTGGGAGGCGGGTGAGGGATAAAACACTATAAATTGGGTATGGTGTATACTGCTCAGGTGATGTGTCCAACAAAATCTCACAAATCACCACTAAAGAAATTACTCATGTAACCAAACACCATCTGTTTCCCATAAATCTATGGAAATAAAAATAAAAAATAAAAAAGGGTCAAAATGTTAGTAACTTCAGGCTAATAAAACATGAGGATAAGCATTGTATTGCAGCTTAAGCCTTAAAGGAGGTCTAGTACACATATTTATCTCATTCATACTTTTCTCCTTATTTCTGCCTGAAATTTGAAATTAGACCATCACATTTTCATAGCAGCTTGCATCAAATGAGAGATTAGTGTGGTGGAAAGGTCCAGTCCTTGGGGCCACCTCCGGGCAACTCTGCAAGGACATCAGAGCTCCAGAGCTCCCCACAGTCTGGTGACCTTGTTATCACAGCACTACAGCCTCTGTGCAATGTTGCTTCCTCCTCTTCCCACTAAAGCATAGATCTCAAGAGTAATTCCTAATAAATTTATTGCACAGTAATCTTCAGCTTCAGGTTGATGTCAAGAAAACCTGACTGTCAAGAGGGTAACTTTCAGTGTAATTTCACCCTCAGACTCAAGAAAAGGGACCAGAGTCACAAGGGACTTCATGCAGTAGAAATGTCATAGCAGCCCTGGAAGAATAAAATACATATTGTTTATTTCTTTGTTATGATAACACTCTATTACTCAGAAGCAATCTGAGTAATAACAATGAATAATCATTTCAGAGATAGTTTTTAAATACAGATATAAGAGCTAACATTTCTAATTTACATAACACCATGTTTGAGTATATAAATTTTTAAATAAAAGTTCTCTTTTCATATCATTATATCTCTTTCTACATCATTGTACATTGAATGTTTGTTAGAATATTGATTGTAATATTTATCATGTCTAATTTTATAATAAATTTGAATAGAAATTTGTTTATCTAGACTCATATGCATCATTTAGTTATAAACATGAAATAAATATACCTATGAATATTTAATTATTAATACAATTAGAAAAGATGAAATAACTTGGATTTTAAACCGGAAGTGAAATGTAAAGATTTTGAGCTGTAGTTTCAACTAACTTAACTTTAAAATATGGCTCTGCCACTTATGAACGGAGTGACCCCTGGTATGCTACTAAAAGTAAAACCTTTCATTTATTTGCCTCTAAAATAAGTAAAATAGTTACATCCTATTAAAAAATGTGTACAGCCATACATACATTCATATGTATATATGAACATATGCACTCAGATACATGTATATATTCTCACATGAATCTATGCTTGTATATTCATCAGAGTCTTGTGAATATATAGCCTACCAAATAATTCAAGAAGAGGGCTGGAGGAATGTACAAGCACTCACAGTTTTGTTTTTTCCTTTAAGTGGGGTTCTATATAAAATAAATACTCACTGAAGTTCTAATATTTCCATGTGTGCAGGAATTAATCTATCACCATTTCATCTACAGTGGTGTAGACATATACCATCTTAGGGAGAAATAAGAAAATAATCACTCGCTACACTCTGAGCTTATTGAGTTAGATGAGGAAGTCTGTAAAAAGACTAGACAATATGAAAGGGATGCTACCATTATATTTTATACCATTTGATACTGCTTATTTTTTTTAACACATAGACATTTATATTTGACCATCATTATTTTATCATCTGAATGCTATGTTTTGTGGATGAAGAAGTAGTCTCATATTCAGAAAACAGCTCATACAACCCACAGATATCCGCTAACAGATGGCCCTACATGGCTGAATAACTGTTATGGGGTCCACTTTAGCAATTTCTTGCCTCCAAAATCAATTGGATCATGAATATAAGGCAGTTATTTGTCAAAGATCAGTTACTACAGTTGTATGGGTCTTTTTCTGGGTTCTCTATTTTGTTCTACCCATCTTTCTGTCTATTCTTTTGCCAAAACTACTTTGGATCACTGTAGACTTATTTTAAGTCTTGAATTCAGGTAGTATAAGAAGTCCTCCAACTTTTTTCTTTACTTTAAATATTAGGTTGTTTATTCTAGATTCTGTGACTTACCATATAAAGCTAAGAATAAGTTTGTTGATAACTTGAAACTATGTAACTCCAATCTTTGCTTTCATGTTCACATGTCTTCTTTATTTCTGTCCTCTTCAAGGACATGTATGATTTGACTTAGCCCCCACCAATCCAGAATGATCTAATCTCTAGATCATTAATATAATTACATCTATCCTTTTTATGGTAACTAAAATACCCCTTTTCCAGACAACATTATTTTCACAAATTTGGGGAACAATATCTTATTTTGGTAGGCCACCATTCAATTCACTACAGGAATCACTTCCTCTACTTCTATTTTGTGCAGAAGATTATGGAGAACTGGTCTCCTTTTCTCCTTTAATTTTTGGTAGACTTCATCAGTGAAATCACCTGGAACTGGTACTTTGGGTTTTGGAAAGTTATTAAATATTAACTCAGTATCTTTGATAGATACAAATATGTACAGTTTATTTTCCTTGTGTCTTTAAGAAATTGATCCATTTCACCTACATTTTCAAGTTTATAAGTATGAAGTTGTTCATTATACTCATTTATTATACTTTTATTATTTATGGGATCAGTAATGATAACCCCTCTTTCATTTCTGCTGTTGGGAAGTTGCATCTTCTCTTTTCTCTTAGACTTGCTGAAATGTTCAATTTTATGTACCTTTTCAAATTAGCTTTTGGCTTCATTTATTTTTCTCTCTTTGTTTCCAGTTTCATTAATTTCTTCCCTACCTTTTATTCGTTATTTTCCTCTTCTAGTTTCAGCTAATGTTGTTCTTCTCTCACTAGTTTGCTAAGGCAGTAGTTTATAGTAATGATTTTTAGGTCTTTCTTATTTTCTAATATACACTTTTAGAGCTATAAATTTGCCTCTAAGCATTGCTCTTGCTGCATACCACACATTTTGGTAAGATACATTATCATTTTTATTTAGCTCAAAATAAGTTATTATTTATATTGTGACTTCTTCTTTGTCCAGTGTGTTAATTATAGGTCTATTAATTAGTTCCCTCCAGATTTGCAGAATTTTCCAGCTATCTTCCCATTGCTGATTTCTTATTTAATTCATTGCAGTTTGAAAATATATTTTGTAAAATTTCAATTCTTTTAAATTTGTTAAGGTGTGTTTAATGGCCTATGAAGGAAGTGTTTCATCTTTGTGAATGTTCTACGTGAGTTTGAAAATACATATATTCTGCTATTATTTGGACTATTCTACAAATCTAATCAGATTAAGTTGATTATTAGGACTGTTTGGGTCGGGTCAATTATATCTACAAACTTTCTACCTATTTTGATCTATTAATTACTGAAAGAGCAGTGTTGTCTGTTTCTCTTTGCAGTCCCATTTATTTTTATTTCGTGCATCTTGATGTTCTGTTGTTAAGTGCATATACATCAAGGATTTTATGTTCTCTTGGGTAATTGACCTCCATATCATTATCTAAAGCCAGTCTTTACCGCTAATAAATTTTGTCATTCTGAAGTCTGCTTTGATTAAAATTAATATATCTACCCTATCTTTCTTTGGATTATGCTACTGGAGTAACTGGAGCTTTTTTTTTTTTTTTTTGGATTGGTGTAAAGATATATATATATATATATATATATAATTTCTTTACTTTTACTTCTTTACTTTTAACCTGAGTATTTCTGTATAAAATGGTTTTCTTATACACAATGCATAGTTGAATTTTTAAAAGAAAATCTCTAAAAATCCGCGTTAATTGCTGAATATAGAAATTCACATCTATATTATTACAAATAGAATCGAATTAGAGTCTATCATATTTTTAAAGGTTTCTACTTATTGTATTTTTCTTTAATTCTTCCTTTTTTGTCTTCTCCAGTGTTAATCGAGCATTTTATAAGATTTTATTTCTTCCATTAGTTTATAAATTGTGCTTTTAAAAATATGTTTTAGTGGTTCTCCTGGAGTTGCAATACACATTTTTCTACTCTAAAATAACCTTCAATATTTCACAGATATTGAAGTTACCTTATAAAAGTGTATTTCCAATTATTCCCTTCCATCCCACATACCATTATTGTCATTCACTCCACTCATGTGTATGCTTACAATCATCCAGTATTTGTTGCTATTATTATTAATTTACATAAGGAGTTGTAGTTTAGATCAACAAACAATTAAAAAAATATATTTCATTTTATTCTCCTTTATTTCTTCCGTGATGCTTTTCCTTTCTTTATTTACATCTGATTCTCCTACGTACAAAATTTTCTTCATCCCTGAAGAACACTTTTCTCTTTCAACATTTCTTGCAGAGAAGAATCTGCTGGCAAATAATTTCCTAAGTTTTTGTTTGTCCTTGATAGTCTTTATTTCTTCGTCACTTTATAAATACATATCACTGGATGGAGAATTCCAGGTTAGTATTTTTATTCTTCATTTTAAATAATTCATTTCATTCTCTGATTGTTTGCATTGTTTCAGACAAGAAGTCCACTGTTATTTTTATCCTTCGTTCTTCTGTAAACTAAGGCATTTTTTCCCCTCTGATTTTCTTTTTGTCTTTGGTTTTCTATAATTGACTATGAGATCCTTAAGTGTGAATTTTTTCATTACTTATCTTGATTAGTGTTCTTTCATCTTAGATTTATGGTATCAAATGCCATTAATTGTAAAAAAAATTGAAATTTTCATTGCTTAGACATTTGCTACTTTTTGTAGCATACCTAAAAATGTATGACTTGTATGTCATTGTCATTATTCTTAATGAAGCATCCTTTCACCTGGACGACTATTTTCCAATGACTATAAGGAGCGAAAATTAAATCTAGTCCAGTTAAATGTATATTTTTTACCAGTTAATTTAAAAGACGCTGCTTTATATTAGTCTATCATAAAAATAGTACAAAGGTCTAAAAATGAAAAAATGAGTTTCTATGTGTTTATTCTGTAAATAAAGTATCTGGGAAGATATGGGAAAACTCAGTATTTTATGGTTGGTTTTGCTGTGATTCCTTAAACTACTCTAAAAATAAAGTCTATTAAAGAGAAATAAAATATCTGATTTCTAGAATAGCTAAATATTTAAAATGTTTATGCCAGCATACCGTTTGGAAAACTCCAAAACATATTTACAAGGCCATATATGCATGTAAATTGCATTGGCAAACTGCTACACGTTCCCAAAGATAAATAATTCAAGCCTATAGAAATGTATACATTACATTTAGACAAGTCTTAAGTTTCTGATGTAATTGTGTGTGTGTGCATTTTTTTTTAAATTGGAAAGATATACTTTTAATCTCTTCAGTATATTAATTAACTTTAAAAACAAGTTATATTATATGTAGAATTATTTTTAGGTTTTACAATTTTTTTATTTATAAGTTCCAGGATACGTGTGCAAAATGTGCAGGTTTCTTACATAGGTATACACATGCCATGGTAGATTGCTGCATCCATCATCCCGTCATCTACATTAGGTATTTCTCTTAATGCTATTCCTTCTCTAGCCTCCCACCCACCGACAGGCCCCGGTGTGTAATGTTCCCCTCCCTGTGTCCATGAGTTCTCACTGTTCAACTCCTACTTATGGGTGAGAACACGTGGTGTTTGGTTTTCTGTTCTTGTGTTAGTTTGCTGAGAATAATGGTTTCCAGCTTCATCCATGTCCCTGCAAAGGACATGAACTCATCCTTTTGTTATGGTTGCATAGTATTCCATAGTGTATACATGACACATTTTCTTTATCCAGTCTATCACTGATGGGCATTTGGGTTGGTTCTCAGTCTTTGCTATTGTGAACCGTGCCGCAATAAACATAAGTGTGCATGTGTCTGTATAGTAGAATGATTTATATTCCTTTGGATACCCAGTAATGGGATTGCTGGGTCAAATGGTATTTCTAGTTATAGCTCCTTGAGGAATCACCACACTGTCTTCCACAATGGTTGAACTAATTTACCCTCCCACCAACAGCGTAAAAGCTTTCCTATTTCTCCACATCCTCTCCAGTATCTGTTGTTTCCTGACTTTTTAATGATTGTCATTCTAACTGGCATGAGATGGTATCTCATTGTGGTTTTGGTTTGCATTTCTCTAATGACCAGTGATGATGAGCATTTTTCATATGTCTGTTGGCTGCATAAATGCCTTCTTTTGAAAAGTGTCTGCTCATATTGTTTGCCCACTTTTTGATGGGGTTTTTTTTCTTGTAAATTTATTTAAGTTCCTGGTAGATTCTGTATATTAGCCCTTTGTCAGATGGATACATTTTAAAAATTTTCTCCCATTCCGTAGGTTGCCTGTTCACTCTGATGATAGTTTCTTTTGCTGTGCAGAAGCTCCTTAGTTTAATTAAATTCCCTTTGTCTATTTTGGATTTTGTTGCCATTGCTTTTGGCATTTTAGTCATGAAGTATTTTCCCATGCCTATGTCCTGAATGGTATTTCCTAGGTTTTCTTGTAAGGTTTTTATGGTTTTAGGTCCTACTTTTGAGTCTTTAACCCATCTTGAGTTAATTTTTGTATAAGGTGTTAGGAAGGGATCCCATTTCAGCTTCCTGCATATGGCTAGCCAGTTTTTCCAACACCATTTATTAAATAGGGAATCCTTTTCACATTGCTTGTTTTTGTCAGATTTGTCAAAGATTAGATGGTTGTAGATGTGTGGTGTTATGTTTGAGGCCTCTCTTCTGTTCCATTGGTCTATATATCTGTTTTGGTACCAGTAGCATGCTGTTTCGGTTACTGTAGCCTTGTAGTATAGCTTGAAGTCCGGTAGTGTGATGCCTCCAGGTTTGTTCTTTTGCTTAGGATTGTCTCGGTTATGCGGGCTCTTTTTAGGTTCCTTATGAAATTTAAAGAAGTTTTTTTTTTTTTTTTTGCCCATGCATGAAACTACAGGACAGTCTTAAATGCAAATAAGCAAAAATAACCTACTTGAGTACTTCATTCAATGCTGTTTCTAGTAGTGTTTATTACCTATTATTATTCTGTTAGATTAAATAAATTAAAATGTGTGTATAAGGCCTTGCATCTCCATAAACTTGGTAAGAAATAAACACTACTTTGCAGTTTGGAATGAAGAATGGGTCTTATCTGAACAAAACAAAATAATAAATTTTAGTGAATTCTACTTACAAACATGTGCTTTGCAAGTTTGTTGAGCGAAAATCCATTACTTAATTGTTGCATACATGTACAAAAGGAATATAGTCTTTTTTCTTCTCGATCTTTTTTACATAAGCTTCCAAGATGCTCTGCATAACAGTATTTCCATTGTAGTTAAATGCACAAGTTAAATGTGCATTGATAACCTATAGGTGAACATAGGATCATATTCAGATGGTATCATATTTCTAGCTTATGAGAACAGTGTGGCATGTGAACATTTGCCTTATATAAACTCCTAGGTTTATAATTTTAGGTTTCCTTCCCTATGGTTTTACTACTGTAAAAGCAGGGTGATATCTGGTTATCATTGCATCACATAAGAAGACAACAGATCTGAGTTTAGGGTACCAATGTGGGTCTTGATGCAAGTAATAATACCTCTGGTCTCTGCTCCACAGACTTCAGATACAATGAATAAATATAGATATTAAATACTTCTTATATTACTAGTTACAGTGGCTTTTGAAGCAATGCTATGATGTAAACATGAGTGTGGTCGCTTTTTATTTCCCCCAGTGAATCTACCCACCTCCCAGCATCTGCCACCATACCATAGATAAAGACATGTGACCTGCCTGCTGGAGCTGGCTTGCTCTTTATTTCATAGACTAACTCTGACTATAGAAAGAGACTGAAGAGGAGCTCTTTCATATATATATATATGTTAAGTATCTTTTAAAATGTATACCCTAGTTCTGATAACTGGACTTGTTGACTGCTTAAATGCTATAAATGACCAATTTCTAAGTAGTCTTAGGATCTAATATGCTGTAATGATGCCTAATTTTTTCTTCAGAAAATTTACTGAATTTTAATATTTGCTTCAGTAACAAATTAAACAGGATGTATCTGTATCTCTCTCTCTCTCTCTCTCTCTCTCTCTCTCTCTTTCTCTTTCTCCCACCTTCATTTCTCTCTTTCTTTCTTAACTGTTCTACTATACAAAGCCTTTATTTTGGTCCAGGTTTTTTCACCGTTAAAGTGATAAGTTGTCCTGGATAATAATACATGAATAACAGAAACACTTCTATTCTATCCATGAGACACAAAGGAAAAGCGTTCTAGAATCCCATCATAATAATTTCTGTAGAAAGAAGAGTATTTGAAATTTATTCTCATTAGGATCCCCAGGTTTTGAGATTTTTTTTTTCTTGCTCTGCCACCCAGGCTGGAGTGCAGTGGCACAATCATGACTTACTGCAACCTCCACCTCCAAGGCTCAAGCGATCCTCTCACCTCAGCCTCTGGAGTAGCTGGGACTAACAGGTGCGCACCACCATGGCAGGCTAATTTTTTATTTTTTATCTTTGTGTTTTTAGGTAAAGAAGAGGTTGATATTCATCATCTCAGAAATTCAGGCACTTTAAAAAATATTAGAATTTTCAGAAATCCTACTTTCAATATTATAAGGAGGGATTTTGAGATTATTTTTCCTAGACATTTTTATTTAATGTTCAAGGTTATCACTTGCTTCCTGAAAACATTCAGAAAACATTACAAGTTGTTATTAGAGTTATTTTCATGTACCTTCAGTTATTAGTTTTGTTGGTAATAACAATATCATTTAACTTTTAACTTATTTTATAATTTTTTAAATATCTTCCAATTTTTGTGGAGTTTTTGTTCTTTTCAAAAATATTTATCTAATTATTTTGCATAATTCAAATCTAAGATATTTACATTCTCCCAACATCACTTATATGTTTTTGAAGAAATAACTGCATAGGTTTAAATGTATGTATGTTAAATATTCAATATTTGTAACAGCTTTCTTAAAATTTTCTTGAATTTTTCTAAATTTTCTCTTGACTAATTATGTTTTGTTCTGTGTATATGACTGTTCACTGTAATTCACAGACTACACGTTCCTCTTGTGTTTGTAGTATAAAAAAACTTCACAACAGTTGATAGAGTATCTTGTGCCAGTCTACTCAATAGGCCTGAATCAAGCTTTTGAATGGCGGGAATTATTCTTCTGTTATCCCTGAGTCTGTCAGAACAATGCTTAGTGACTCCTTAAGTTACTTTATGATTTTTCATTAGATGTTATGCCTCTCTCCTGGTATTATGTGAGATGGAAATGTATGAGGTTGAAAAAAACTAAATAAAAATTAAAACCTGTACACTAAGAAAATAATAAAGATTTAATTATATACTTACTGAGAAAGTTAAATGAAGAATTGTCTCAGTGATATGTATGTATTACTACATAAGGGTATGTCAATCTGAAAATATCATTCAAAATGTATTGCATGTATGTCATCCATATTAACCTAAAATTATGTATAAGTTGTTTTTTCATGTTTTTAATAAACTTATTGAAATATACATATACAATGTGAAATGATTACCAAAATCGAGCTAGCTAGCACGTGCATCATTTCACATAAATACCTATTTTTTTGTGAGAACACTTAAGATCTACTCTTTTAGCAAATTTTGTGTACAGAGTGCAGTATTATTAATTACAGTCACCATGCTGCATATTAGATCTCTAGAACAGTAGATCTTTAGAACCCTAGAACATAATTGTACTCTTTGACTACTATTATCTCTTGAAGCTAACATTGCAATTAACTTAGCCATTGCTTAATTTAGAGTGTTAAATCTAATTTTTAGTCAAATAAAAATACATTGCCTAAGTAGAATGGGTTCAATGTAATAGCAGTGATTATTATTAGAAATATGCTGAGAACAGATACATTTTATAACTGGTTATAATCCACTTTTCTTATTCAACATTCCTGTATGTTTTGCACTAGTACATGCACTGGCTAAAGAATTTTGAATAACCTCTTTAGATAAAGCTCTGTGCTTTTATCTTTAACAATATATATTCATAATATCTCACACTCTTCTACTCTTGCAAAGTTTAGAATTCAACCTTTTTAGCATGTACTCTTCTTATATTCTTATATTCTTATATTCTTATATTTTTCCCTGATCTCCTTATCTACTGGTAATTGATTTTCAATAGGTAATTTTTAGGGAGATGAACATTTTCTCAGATATAAACACATACTTAGATTTCTTGTTAGGTGAATTATATTTCATTAATTTATTATTTAATTAAAATTGTGTGTTTGCCTTTATTTGTGCCCGTGCACTTGATCTTTACACAGATTTGTAACAAGCATTACTATAGGACTTCATTTCTCAAGGACACTTGTAGAAATAAAAGTTATTCAATGTTTTTATGCTTGGTAATAAATACAAGAGGTAGGACTCTGATCAGGAAAACTGGATTTCTGACAGTTCTAATTGCTGTCCTATGCTGGGGTATGATTAGGTCACCTAAACTCACCAAATTTGATTTTTCATTTGTAAAATTAAGACACTCGGATAGTTTCTTTCAGTCCCTTTTTTGAGCTGAACTGTGAAAGGTAACTTTATAATTCTTATACAATATATAATTTTTATTTTTTGATCATATTACTAATTATTAATTTGTTAATTCTGATAGCATTTATATTAAACTTGTATTACATCTACTAACTTTTTTATGTTTCATGAACCTTGTAAGCAGTTTACTTCATTGAATTTAATCTTGAATACACTTAATGAAAGTGAGATCATTTTTAATTCATATTACATATATAAAACTAAACCTTATTAAACAGCATGAGACAAGACATAAACCAATAGAAATACAGACAATGTTTCAGGGAAAAAAATCTAACAATGAAAAAATCAATATTTGCAAAATATAATATATAAATGTACTATGTTTTCAATCAGAACTCATAATTTAACTGAAAATATTTATATGAGGATTAAATTAATTAATTAACATTATATAAAGTTTCATAAAGAAGACATGGCCTACTGGTTGGAACTTTCTATAAAACTATTTTAGTCAATAAGTTATAATAATTTTATAGTAACAGAAAAATAAATGAATACAAATAAAGTGAGATTCAATAAGTATATCCTCTATAAGAGCACTTAATAAATGATAAATATATTTCCATTCTTCAGTAAAGCATATTTTAATAATCAGTACTGTTTAATAGCTGATTTTGTTGTTTATTGCCATTAAGGTAGAAGTAATGGTAGGAATAAAAATACATTTCAGACTTGTAAGACAGTTACAATAAACTCTAAAAAAACCCAAATAATTTATGGAAATATCTTTACAATCCTATGTCCTATGTTGTGGTAATATTCTTGAGCAAGAGAAAAATATAAAGGGAAATAACATTTATTAATAAGATAAAAATAAATATTAAAGATGATATATAATCAAATAATGAGAAAATAATGAATGCTTTTCTCCATAAGAAAAATGGTAACATTCATAATAAACATTCATGAACAATGTAAAATGATACAAGTGAAAACTGAACAAAGTATATAAAACAGCACCCACATAGTTAAAAATATATGAAAGCATGTTCAAACTCATGATAATATTCAGAGAAATACAAATAATATGATTGTAATGGCTCAGAAAAAATATGCAGTTAGTATTTAATTATAACATACTATATAACATATAAAATATAATTCAATAGGCATGCAATCTAAGTACACATTTTCATTTTTAGAAATTATTTCTCAAAGAAAAGTTCTATTCCAAACAAATTAAATTCAACTCCTAGGTAGATGAATAAACAAACATAGATATGTGTAGCGAAGTGTACATAAGAGTAATAATATGTGTAAGAGCACAGAACTGGAAAAAAAACTGATTATCCACATACAGTAGAGTAAATAAATAATTGCTAATATAGTATATACTTGAATACTATGTAGCAATGAAAATTAAGCATTGCTGTAACATGCCTGAATCTCACAAAAAATAATGTTGAACAAAATATTCTTGAGCCAAGGTAATACATTCGGTTCACTTTGTCTCTACAAAATTTGCGGAGTGTATTTTTTTTATACTTTCAGTTTTAGGGTACATGTGCACAACGTGCAGGTTTGTTACATATGTATACATGTGCCATGTTGGTGTGCTGCACCCATTAACTCCTCATTTAACATTAGGTATATCTCCTAATGCTATCCCTCCCCACTCCCCCGACCCCACAACAGGCCCCGGTGTGTGATGTTCCCCTTACTGTGTCTGAAGTGTATTTTATGGCATTAGAATTTCATGGTTGTCTTGGAAGAAAAGAAAGAAGTCATAATAGAGAATATCCAAGAAGGTGCTAATTTTTTTCATTGAGCTCGGTGTTGTTTTTATTTGGTGATAAGTTCAACTGTAAACATATTACTTTATACTTGTATCCATAAGTCAAATATGCAAAAATATATACAAATCATATATAATAAACATGAATATTATGTGCATTTATGTAAAATGTAATTATAAGAAAAAAAAATCGTCATACCCTTCTGGTTTCCCTTTTTTTTCCTTAGACAGATAAAAACAAAGTCATACCAAAACAAACAGAACCGCTTCTAAGCCATGTTTGAAATTTCTTTCAGTACTTCAACAAGGTATGGTAAAATACATATTGAAATGTTAATTTTATTTTAAGCACGTGAAATTCAGTGGGATTGCATCTAGGAATCATAAGTTTTCCTGATACCACTTTCCACTTTTTCCCCTCAACAAAATAAATACCAAACAAGCTCATACAAAAAGTACATAATATGAGTAAACTAGTAGCTATAGAATAAATTTCAAGAGTTATTTAAGTTGAAACCTTTGGAGAGTTTCACTGCAGAGTCCTTTCAAACCTTTAAGTAACAGAAACTCTTGTAGAGACAGGGTCTTGCTATGTTGCCCAGGCTGGTCTCAAACTCCTGATCTCAAGCCATCCTCCTACCTTGGCCTCCCAAATGCTGGGATTATAGGTGTGAGCCACCATGCCTGGCCTGAGTAACAGAAACTTCACGATTAGAATATACTAGGGGCAAAATAAATAGTGGGAAGTGTCTCATTTTTTAAGTTAAAATAACCTTGATTATGTAGGCTTATCTTGCAACACAAATAAGGAAAATCTCACTTGTAAATATTTACACAAATATTTAAAATAAAGTAGCAAAACTAATTCAGTAGTATTTAAAGTATTTAAAGAATAATTTGCCTACAATACAGTTTACCCTAGACATGTTAGTACATTTTAATACAAGAAACTCTGTTAATATAATGCTTTCCATTCCTCAGTTAATAAAAATATTTTACAATTTTAAGACAATGATTAAAATCACTTAAATGAAAGTCAATAATTTATAGAACAACTCAGGAAGCTCCCCTCTAACTAACACTACGGAAAGTTCCTTTTCTATATATGTCACCATGCTCTGTATTGCATAGTCCTAAAGTTCCGGTCAGAGCAAACTGGAACATGGTTTCTCAATACCTGACCAAAATACAGCCATTAATAGAAGACCAATGACAGATGAAGTAAAGTGGTTTAGAAATCAAGTCAAGATCTTTATTTTGGATAATAATGAATAAATCAAACCAACTTGCATGTTTTTAGCATTATAAAACACTTGCATGCTTTTAACATTATAAAAGCATTATGAAACACATTGCTGACTTTATTTCCATAGTCAACTGTCCCAGAAAAGAAATTGCTATTCCCTGGGGATTGCATCGCTGCTTATGTAAAAGTAAGAAACACAGATAAAAAATGAAAAACAGTTAATTTGTTAAGCAGAAAGGCACATGAAATACAATACACAGAAATTATGTGCCTATTAAAAATATAAGTGTTCAGAAAGCATACTATAGAGGAGGTTTCAGCAAGGGAAATGGCTAAGTAGAAAGAAGGAATGTGGTAAATGAAGTCATGAGTTCCACAGAGTCATGGACTGAGAAACAAACATGATTATGATTGATTTTTAGATTCCAGAATTCTGTCAGTCTCCTAGCAATTTTCTATGAATGTTTTTAAAGCTGCTGAAACCATTTCCTATTCTCTATTTATTGATTCTAAAGCTATCTGCTCTTTGCCAAGTGCAGTTGAAGACACCAGAGATGGAATGAACTGCTTTAAATCATTTATGTCATGGAGTCTACATTCCAGTGGAGGAGTCAGACTCTAAGCAAGTGAATGTATAAATAACACAACATAGCATATGATAAATACTATAAAGAAAATATCCAGATGCAATGGGGTAGAATTGTGAACTTACTTTTTTAATATGCCTCTCTACTCTTATTCCCACCTGCTCTGAGTACATGACTTTTACACTGGACGTTCTAAGAAATGTCTCGCCTAGAGTTAAGAATATGGTTCTCTATAGGACTATAAAGGAAAATAGACAACATTCAGTTTCTAATATGCTGAATAGAATTTTTCAGGGCACCACAAATCTCACACAGATTGTTGCCTTGAAGGAGGATATTTAAAATTGTTCTATGACTTTCTTCCCTCTCCCTCAACTTTCTATTAACATACCAGGAGCTGAATCTGGAGACAATCTCCTAGAATCTTCCTCCTGTCTAGAGCAAATAACATTCTTCCTGTGACAATGAAATCATGAGTTCTGTTCTTTATGAGAATTCACAGAAATTAGGAAAATCTTGTTATAAAATTTAATAAAAAAGAAAATCTCCACAGAGCCTGGGAATTGTGGAAATGAGACAAAAGGGAGAGAAGAGAGCAGGAGGACTGCAAATTGGGACAACCTGAACCACTTTTTTCCTCTTTGAGTTTCAGCTCAGGGCTATGCAGTGGTCTAAGACAAGTGAGGAATAAAACTTAAAGGTAGAGGAAACCTCTTGTATTTCCATCTACTATTTAGAATTCTGGAAGGACATTTGCCCTCTGGCTTTCCCAGTCCCTACATGTGTGTAGATACAGATGACCCTATAGGTACAATGGGTCAGATGAAGTTGACACCAATATTTATCCCACTCCTGAGAGGGGTGGACATGGAGTTGAGAGCAAGTGAGTATATCACTGGGCTCTCTGCAGCAGAATGAGGGACTTGTACCACTGAGGGAGGCAAGATGTGGGACGCAACTGGGACTTAGCAGCCACAAGAGCCAGGGGAAGCTGAGTTGCTGAGGTTGATTAATGGGTCTAACAAAGTGACGGGGCAACCCGGGGCATTAGCCATGGATGCCAATCAAGCAAGCAGTGACAAGTTGGGCTGAGGTCATGGGAATATAGAGAAATCCAAGTTAATGAACCTGTTCTTACCATCTTCTTCAAGTTTATGTAAGGCACAGCCTTCCCCTTACATTTACAGAAGCCACATCTCAGAGGAGGGGGAAAGTCCATTTGTAAAAATGAATCCTGTTGTTCTAGAGATAATGCTAATAAAAGGACAACTTGAATGTATAGGTTCAAGTATTATTTAAATCCTTGAAATGAACACAGCATCTTTTCACTGAAGAAAAGTAGAAAATGTCCTATGGCCAATAATAATATAGATTGCTAGATGGTAATTTTTAAAATGTCTTTTATAATACATGCTTAAATTTAGCAGTTTTCTTCTATGTTAATGTCTAGGTTTTTTTTTTCTATGAGGCACTAATACAAAGTAGGAGTTCAAGGCTTAGTCTCTTATCTATTATTCATTTTAATTTAATACTATTATTATTTTCGGCTTATTTGTTTAGACTTTATTAATTTTAGAATAGTTTCTCATTTTAGAAATTTATATTTATTTATTTAATTTTTTGCACAGCACCATGCTAGACTTTGAGGACACAGCAGTCATGAATAAACCATGATGCCTCCTCTCACAAAGATGATATGCTTTATACATGTTAACTTGTGCAATAATTGATTGCAAATTAATTATTAAAATACAACAGTAATAAGAACAATGCATCACATTTATTAAATGCTGATAAGACTTCCTATGCACTCAGCTAGCAAATTATATACATTATATTTATGAATTATGATTAGAAATGATGAAGAAACAAAGCCAGCTCGGCAAGAAGTTACATCAAGAAATACAAGAATCCATAATACATCATTGAACCAAATTGATAAAATGTAAATTGTCTCATTTTCAATGACATGGCCACATCTTAGAAATGGTTTTAGAATCATAGCCAGATATAAGGGGTTTGTATAGGAAAATAACAAAACTACTTTCTAGCCAGGGCTGTCTCTTTTAAAGATGCTTGCAATGGGAATATGTAGACACAATATCTTAGAGCCTAAAGTCAGCAACATTTGCAAAATGAAATAATGCAGTACTGTAGTCAATACTAACTTAATTGTGTATTTTAAATTACATTTTAAAATGTAACAGGTTTATTTGTAACTCAAAAGATAAATGCTTGAGGGGATAGGTACCCCATTCTCTATGATGTGTTTATTTTACATTGCATGCTTGTATCAAAACATCACAAGTGCTCCATAAATATATATACCTACTATGTACCCCTAAATTTTTTTAAATAAAAAAATTAAAAAATATTTATCATTGGGTTTTTCATTTTTTAGAAGTCAGATTTACATTGAGTAAAATATAACCTGCTTAACTGTACAGTTTAATTTATATATATAAAATATACAAATTGTATACAGTATATATGTATATATGTGTATATATAACTACATATATATTCATAACAACTTTATTATACATATAGTTTTATATATATACATATATACATATATACTACATATAATTTATATATATTTATATATTAATCAAACTGTACAGTTAAGCAGAGTATATTTATATATATAAATTAATCAAACTGTACAGTTAAGCAGGGTAGTATTTATATATATATATATATGAAACTACAAACACATGTACCCCTAAAGTGCCCTTACTGTCTATGTTATAAAGTCCCTTTTCTCTACCCTCCACCCCTAGTTCCTGGAACCACTAATGTGATTCTTGTGCCTTTAATTTTGTCTTTTTCTTATTATTATATAATAGAATCATTCAGGCTGTAGTCTTTCTTTTTGTCTGGCTTCTTTCACTTAGCATTATGCTTTTGAGATACCTGCACATTGTTGCATATAACAATTCTTTTATTTTATATATTGTGTGAATGTATCATGATATGTTTATCCATTCACCATTTGCTGGACATTTGGATTGTATCTTCTTTTTGGTGATTATGAATAAAGCTGTTATCAATGGTTATTAGGGGCTTTTGTGAGAACATGTAATTTCTCTTGAATAAACACCTTGGATTGGGATTGTTGAGTGGTAAGTAACAAATATATAATTTTATAATTGACTGTATCATTTTCATTTCTACCAGGAATATGTGAAAGTTTCAGTTATTTTACATCCTCATTATCATTTAATAATATCATTTTATTATTTTAGCCATTCTGCTAGCAATGCGTTATTAAGTTATAAAATTGTAAAAATTGTTATATTCTTGTCACCAAGTTATGCTAGTAAACCTTTAACTGCAAAAATATTCAAATGAAGTTAGAAAATTCAAAGTTTTTTGAATTTTTGCCATTAACTATTTTCGTTAGTTTTGCTGTTGAATAATAAATATTTTTTTAAAAGTTTGAGAAAAAATGAAATAAATGCATGCACTCATTGTTTGCTAATCAGAAGGATTACTATGCTAGTTATTTAAATTCCTTAATATGCTCTGTAAGAAATCATCAGATTTGGAGACAAACTACAAAAGAGAGGAAAATTACTAAAAGGAGAATAAGAGGTATGCAAAAGTGATCAATATTTTAACAGTTTTTCATATTCTTCATTTGAACATATGGAAGTGGTTTAGTAAGCGAATCCACATTGATATACATTTTTTAACAAAGAAAATGGTTTTGATTTTTTTTTCTCCTAATGTACTAAATAGTGTGGTTACAGTCACTTTGAAGAAATGTCAACGTTCCTATAACAAGGGATCCCAGGGTACTTCACAATTGTTTACTGTCCCCTATTTGTGATTAGTACTACTAAGGAGACATGCTGTATGCTAATGAAGCTATGGTTACTGAAAGAAATCTGGTGTAGAAGTTGGAAAGAGTGTCTGGGACGTCATCTCTGAATAAAGGCAGTGGAATAAAAGAATGCTCCAAGAAGAGAGAACAACCTGTTTTATTGTTATGAGCCAAAACAACATGGGAAAACTCGTAACAGTTCACATTACTCTACATCTCATTCTTCTTTTCTAAACAAAATTGATTTATGGGCTGATTTTAGAATAATTTATTTAAGTGCCAGAAGTAAAATGCTATCAAATAATTCACCAATATGCAATTTTGTAGTATGTGATACATTTGAGACCCCTATGTGCCTATAAAGTGCATATGAAGATCTTGATAAATAAAGATCTTGACTCAATAATTGGGAAGTGCTGAGAGTCTGCATTTCTACCAAATTCTTAGACAGTGACGAAGCTCCCTGTCCATGGACCCTGCTTTGAGTAGCAAAGTGCTAGATTGCATTCTTCCTACTCAAAGTTATCACTTTATAATTCTCTCCTTTCTCTTTCAGAGCACTATATTTTTCCACATTGGTAGATGATTTCTATCTACATAGAAACATACTGTTATGTCTCCTATCTTAATCAGGATTTCACATCGATAACTCCACATAAACTGTTCTTGTAAAAATTGCCAGTGGCAGTCAGTCTTTTATTCTCTGTCCTTATCTTACTTGACATTTCATATGTATTTTCTTAACTTAGGCACTCCATCCTCCTAGAGATGCTTTTGTTGCCTGGCTTCAAGCCGATTCCAGGTTTCTTTCTACTTCATTGGCTCCTTCTCAGTTTTCCTTGCTTATTTCTATTGAGCTCCCCAACCACTAAAGACTGGAAGTCTTCAGCACTCAACCCTTGGAACTCTTCTTCAGCCTCACTTAGTCTCATTGATTTAAATGCCATCTGTTTCCCAAATGTATGTCTCCAGGCAGCACTTCTCTGATCTCATGACTTAAATATTTTATAGCGTTCTTAACATCCCTGCCTCTATCAACAACTCAAAAGTAAATGTTCAGAGCCACAATGATGACTAACCCCAAGTTCACCCTTCTTCCATAGCACAATTTCTCCCTCGCGCACTTAAACAAATGGCAATTACATTTTTCCATTTCCTCAGTCAACATACGCAGAAGTCAAGCTCAAATGTCTTCACTTTTTTTTTCTTTCAAATTCTGCTTTAATGCAGCAATAAATTTTAGAAGTTCTGCCTTCTCCATATAATTAGAATCTTAATATTTTTCACTGTTTCTAACCCTTTAGAAATAACTGCCATCATGTCATACTTAGAAAAATACAATACACTAATATTGTTCTTATTACTTATAATCTAATCTCTTGTGGTCTGTTTTCAACACCAAAGCCGGTATGAGCTTTTACTCATGCGATTTATGTTGTCACTCTCCTCCTTCATATCCTTCAAAAGTTTGGCTTCTCATATGACTTGGAGTTAAAATCAAGGTTCTGGTGATTGTCTAACAGGTTGTGCATGGTGCTACACATGCTATCCATTTAATCTCACTGCCTGCTTCTCCTTTCCCAGCTCACTCCTTCCTGTCAGACCAGCAATCCTGATGATCTTTAACATATCAGTCACATTCCTGCTTCGGGTCCTCAGCCTAAAAAGGTTTATGAGAGATATCTATGTAATTTCTTAAGCTCTTTGCTTAAATATAAGTAGACCTTTCCTTACTTCTATATTTAAAATTGCAGCCTATCCTCTTCTTACCTAGATTCAATTTCTCCCTTCTCCGTTTTATTTTTCTTTGTAGTTCTTATCACCATATGTCATACTGTATGTTATTTATTCATTCATCTTCATATTTGTCCTTTTTTTTTTTTTTTTTTTTTTTGAGATGGAGTCTCGCTCTGTCGCCCAGGCTGGAGTGCAGTGGCGCGATCTTGGCTCACTGCAAGCTCCGCCTCCCGGGTTCACGCCATTCTCCTGCCTCAGCCTCCTGAGTAGCTCGGACTACAGGCACCCGCCACCACGCCCGGCTAATTTTTTGTATTTTTAGTAGAGACGGGGTTTCACCATGTTAGCCAGGATGGTATCGATCTCCTGACCTTGTGATCCACCCGCCTCGGCCTCCCAAAGTGCTGGGATTACAGGCGTGAGCCACGGCGCCCGGCCGTCTTCCTCTTTTTCTAATTGACTCTTTCCCAAGCAGCCTCCCACCCAAGTACAAACCAAGCCCCACTCTGCTTAACTTCCCCAAACGTCAGTATTTAACAATATATCTAGATAACAGACACGCACATATACCACCTGAATTTAAATAAAAGTTGAAAGAGAAAAATAAAAAAGCAGGACTTTTTAATGATCTTGTTTACATTTTTATTCTCAGTCTGGCAAATAATAAGCATTCATTTGATAAATAATTTTTAAATAAATGCAGACAATAAGGAAAGATAACTGGTGAATGCTTCACCTTTAATTGAAAATATGTCATTATAACATTAATTTGTATGGTATTTTCATTTTTTAATACAAATACAAAGATCTAGCAATTTTTAGCTTAAAGAAAATTCATATTAAAGTAATAATATGTTATACTTAAAAAGAATAGTAATTATTGAAGAACTATGGCAGAATGGTGTTCACTGTGAAAATTGAATACTGCCGTGGTCAAGAAATGCATAGTGCTGGAAAAAATGATTGACAGGATACCACTTGTAGAAATTGATCTTCAAGGAATAATTAAGTCTTTGTATCAAAATATGCATGCTGATTATAATTATTACATCATATTTAAGTATGCTTAACTATACTATATTTAAATTAAATATCTGGGTAATCCGTGTGTGTGTCCGTGTGTGTATGTGTGTGTGTGGGGGGGGGGGCGGTGGGTGTGTATGACTCCCAAAACTTTAGCCATGCTTCTGTCTGTGGGGAGATTAGAGATGTGATAGGCTAGTGTCATAAAGACTTTAAACTTTATTCTCTATAATTATGTATTATATGAATATTTTACAGTGAGAATGCATTCATCTATTACTTTTACATTTCTTTTTAGAAAGAGCAGAAAATGTCAACTTAGGTTCAATATGTCAGATACATTTAAATTTCAATAAAATTAAAGAATAATGACTGAGTTCACAAACAGCAATATGCTGCTAAGACATGGAAAGAGATAACCTCTACAGTGTCTAGGAACTGCTTATTTTTCATATGAATACTTAGAAACGTTAAGAAGGCTGTAGAAAAATTGGCAAAATGCTATCAATCACCTTTGCTATTGGCTATAGAATCTATCAAATTTTATTCTCATCCTTGCACAATTTCCCTACTAATACATAAATAACTTAGTTTATTTTAATTATTTATTAATCTATCTCTATGCTTCTTCTTGTCTTCATTAATATAGATACATTTTTCTTATTTAATCAACCCTTTTCTCAGTAGCAATCACCTTAAAGCCACCCTAACAGTAAATAAGGGAGAGGCGTTAATGAACTGAAAATAACACTTACATAATTCCCCAAAGAATCTAACAGTATCACAATCCTAACCAACCTCATCCCCTAAAGAAAATTTACTCCTCATACTATGAAAACATTTCAAACTGCCATGAGTTTTCTAGTCCCTAACATAATGGCTTCTCGATGGCTTCCTATCAGAAAATACTGGCCAGTGAGGTTAAATTTGCAATTAAATTCAGAGTCTGTGAGCTTCTTTGAATTTTAATGCATATTGGTGACAATTTAATATTTAAAGTTATTTTTTAACACATTAACAATAACGCATAGTGTTTTGAACTAAATTGCCTTCCCTCAAGAGAATGTTCATGTATGTAGAAGAGAATTATGTGACACTGGGTTACCAATAAGACCATGGAATAGGAATTTCCATTGCTTGACACCCCCCCACACACCCCCACAGTAAGAACATCAATTTGAACAATTATACACACATACAAAAATACCTTCACAAGACCTATGGAAACTATGTAATAAATTACAACACTTTACCAAGTGTTGAGTACCACAGAAAGAGGAAAAGATACATTAAAGAGGATAGGAAGAACAGTTTTATGTTACTTGCATTATTCATTCCTCAAACCCAGGAAGGACATCATGGAGAGAATCATCCGCTTAGGGAACGAATAGGGAAATGAGCGCTAAACTTTCCTTCAAACTCCAACACCAGGCTCATCCCAGGATAATCCAGCAGAGCCAGGCAGGGACCTTTAACCCCCATACTCCCATCCAGTACCCACAGACTAAGCCTCAAGGCTTTCTCCAGAGCCAGGCTGGATTGCACAGCCTTGGGTTCCAGACTTGCCAAGCAGACTCAGTTTCTGAAACTGTCCCACTACCAGACCAACCTCAGTGAACCCAGGCTCTGGACCAACTGTAGCACTCAGCTATCCCCAGTCACCCCAGGCTTTTGGAATGCCCCAGTGCCAGGCCAGTTGCCACATACTCAGACTTTTGACACCCCAGTAGCAGGCTGGCCACCACAACCCTGATCATCAGACCAGGTGCTGCAGACTCAGCTTCAAAGCTGCATCCTTTGAATATAGGCTTTAAACTTACCCAGTGTCAGGATGACACCTGCAGCCCCAAGGTCCAGTCCTAGCCCAGGGTCCAGAACTATTCCAGTAGTCCCGAGTGCTGGGCAGGATCCTACATATCCAGGCTTTAAGACAACCCTGGGGACTTTAAAGGGTTTTAGGGCAGCACATGTGAATCTAGTCTTCAGACCAGGACCTGCACACCTAACCACCAGGCTGATAGCCCTTATGAACTGAAGCTCTTAGGTAACTCCTGCAGATGCAGGCTCTATTCTATGCAAAGATATAAGGAATTTCTATTAGCAGCTTTATCACCTATCATCACTTCATATGTCATCGAGTATGTTAGAAAAAAAGGTATTGCAGTCAGTATAATGGCTCTCCAAATGTATCAACTGCCTAATCCCCAGAATGAAAGAGACTTTGCATACGTGATGAAGATTAAGGATCTTCAAATGAGAAGACTGTCCTGGCTTATCCAGGTGGGTCCAATATAATCACATAAGTGCTAAAAAACAGAGAACTTTTCCTGGCTGCAGTCAGAAAGAGAGAAATGACTGCAGAGAAGGACAGAGAGATGCAACACTTTTGGATTTGAAAGCAGAAAGCGGGGAGGCACAGCCAAGGAATGTGGGCAACCTCCAGAAGTTGGAAAATACAAAGAAACAGATTATTCCATAGAGGCTCCAGAAAAAAAAAAGCCCCACTCACAGCTTGATTTTGGGCAAGTGAGACCTGTTTTGGACTTCTGACCTACAGAACTGTAACAAAAGAATTTTCTTTTTTAATTCACCAAGTTTCTGGTAAATTACTGCAGCAACAAGAGATAACTAATACATAGGGATATGAAGATAAATAAGACATCTGTATTATTTAAGTAGAATAGTAGTAGTATGTATTATGCCATTATTAAAAATGAAAATGATGCTGCTGGTGAAGTTGATACTGGTAATGACAGTGATGACAACTAACACAGCACTTACTGGGTGGTCACTATGCTCTAAGAATTTTTCCAAGTGTTTCCTGTAAATAATTCTATAGCAATACTCTGAGGTAATTTCCCTGTGAGATATTGTCTCTGTTCTACAGACAAGAAAATTAGGGCATAAAAACACTGTGTAACTTACCAAGGATAACAAATCCAGGGAGAGGCAGAACTGGACTTCAAAATCAGACAGCTAACTTTTTGAGTAAGTGTGTCTTAAAAGTAAAATTTGGCCAGAAGGCAAAAGGTAATGTGGATTTCCATGCAGTTTGTGAACTCCTTTGAAAAAAATCTTATTTCTTGGAAAAATTTCTCTTTAATGCAATCAAATTAAAGTAGGGACTAGTTCAAAGAAATCCCAACTACCCTGCTTGGTACAGTAAGGAGAGATGAATTAAATAGAGATGGCCATAATCCTTCCCTGATACAATAGAATCTCTAGCAAAGGAAATGAGTAATTCATAATTTGATTAGCATATGTATCTAAAATTGCTAATTGTGGAGTTTTTAAAATTATGTATTTAATAAAAACAATGAGACGATAGAGACTAGTTATGGAGGTCATCTTTTACTGGATTAAATTACTGGCAAAGATTAAGAACTGATTGGCTGCTAATGACACTGAAATGGTTAAAGTGAAATTAAGATCAGAGCTACCACAAAGTTTGCTTTCAAGAAACTTGAGATACCTTTGATAAGTAGAATTAGATAGCTGCTATATATCTACACACACACACACACACACACACACACGGACGTATACATCCTTGGAACTTAAAATGAGAATCACTATTTGTGAAACATTGGCATATACATGGCATTCAAAATTGCCAAGGTAGTTCAGATCCCTTAGAGAAAAAAGTCAAGGAGAAAGGAAGGCTTGGAATAGAGCCCTAAGCAACATCACCATGTGGAGAGTGAAAGACTGGGAGTCTACAGAAATTTGGAGTATGGCTGAAAAACCTTGAGAGTGGGAGCAAACCAGGGAAAAGATGGGTAATTTAAGGAGAGAGTTGATAGCTCAGTTAAGGGCTGCTGAAATGTTTAAATTTGTCAATAGACACAAACAAACAGAAGTGACTGGTTGGTTTGAGAACAGTCTAGATGTAATGGTTGAGATATCAACAAGAATACATGAAGACTGCAATTCACATGGTTGGTACAGGAAATGGAAATAGCGTGTAGAAGTTTGTCTTATGGGAAGTTTAGATTTGAAGGCAATGAACGAAGTAGAGTAGTTGTCATGCAGAAATGTGGGGATCAGATGGGCTTTCATATTATTTGGATTTATTCTTGAAAATGTAAGGGTTAAAATATATTTCTAGGCACTGCAGAAACGAGAAGCTTATAGTGTGAATGAGATAATCTAAATAAGAAAAATACTTGAGATGGTAAAAGGGAGGATTTGTGGACAGGTTGGTTTTTGATGGTAGAGGGAACTCTGTTCCCTTTAAGCTGTTGGAAAGAAATTATCAATAGCACGGATGCAGGATGGGTAGATTTGTAGATATAAATAGAGAGGATTTGCTAAGTCAGTCCCTGAAAGGAATGAAAATGGAAGAAGATTTGAGAGGTGAAGGGACATCTGTGGAATTGAAATGCAGTGCAGGAAGAAGGGACAGAATGGAGCTTCTGGCAGCAGCAATTGGAACAACTCATGAGAGAGCACTGTCAAATAATGGTGTGAGGAAGTTCACAGATTCTTCCTTCTTCTCAAAATTATTACTACCACACAGTCACACTGTTTGACATGCCACTTTATAGAAACTTGTTCTGTCGTGTTTAAAGTGTCCTCTTTAAGCTACAAGTATCTTGGAGGTTTCATACTAAAATTGCATCTAGTTATTCTAGACTTCTATTAAATGAGCATAATCTAGTATAAATATATATCATTATTTTCTAAATGAGCTGAAATGATCAAACTGAATGAGAACATTGTTGTAGTGACTGAGAGGATGAAGAACTGTAAACAACAAGAAACACCTCAGTGGGCTATTACTGTAATCCTAAACTTACTTGTAAGAAGAGGTAATAGCAAAACAGAACTATTTCCCATTCTGGCGAAGCTTCAACAAGGAAGACAATAATTAGAAGGTAATTAGGTAGCATAATTCACAAGTTGAGATTCTATGATGTATGAGGCTAATGTAATAATGGTGGCATGAAGCTTTCTTTGATATTAGCAATCACTGAAGATTTGGGTTCAGTAGTGCTTAGCAATTAATAGCTTTTCTACCTTTTGTCAGTATTCCTACATACTATACATTTTATCAATCTATATTCTTTATAATTATAACTGGCATTAGAAAATGCCAAATAATACTCCTATTTAACAACCATATTTAATCTATTACAGCATCACCATTTGTTACCTTTGTGAAAATTATGAAGGATGTTATAGACTGAATGTTTGTATCCCCCCAGTTATATTTTGAAATCTTGACCCGCAATGTGATGGTATTAGGAGTTGAAGTCTGCAGGAGGTAATTAAGTCATAAGGGTGGAGCACTCATCAATGGTATTAGTGACTTCACAAGAAGAGACATGAAAGCTTGCTTTCTCTCTGTGTTCTTTACTTTAGAAGGATATGACTGGAAGACAGCCACCTGCAAACCGGAAAGAGAGCTGTCACCAAGAACCTGACTGTGCTGGCACCCTGATCTTGAACTTTCAGCCTCCAGTACTGTTAGAAATCAATGTTGATGGTTTACTCTACCCAGTCTATGGGATTTTTGTTACAGCAGCCCAAACTGATTCAGATGAGGCAACAAGGTAAAACTGCTCCTGAACTTGTGCTTCTCTCTAACAAACATAAAATCATTTGCTAACCCTAGGTCTAGAGTTCCAGTCTGATGTCAATCAGTTCATTGATTTCCAGGCCATACTTTACTGCTTTCACTATTCTTGTAAGTGTTCTTAATGTTCAACACGTGACAGAGAAGCTAGAAATCTAGCACCGAAATTTCTTTTTTTCAAAAGGAACTTTTATTGTTTTTCCTCACAATATTTTTTGACTGTCTTGCTCTGTGTAGCCCAGCCTGGAGTGCAGTCGTGCGATCTAGGCTCACTGCAACCTCTGCCTCCCGGGTTCACACGATTCTCCCTGCCTCAGCCTCTGAAGTAGCTGGGATTACAGACACCCTCTACCACGTCTGGCTAATTTTTGTATTTTTAGTAGAGACAGGGTTTCGCCATGTTGGTCAGGCTGGTCTCAAACTTCTGGACTCAAGTGATCCACCTGCCTCAACCTCCCAAAGTGCTGGGATTATAGGTGTGAGCCACTGCACCCGGCTTGCCCATGGTTTTAGAATTTGTCTCTGTGACATTATCCCCAGATTTCTGTAAACATTGGGAGCCCATTAATATTATTAAGAATCATAACAATGATTTTTTTACATGAAAATAATCTTTAATATTTAGAACATTTCCTTTATTTCACGTTTAATTAAAGAAGACACTTGAAGGGTGTTTGAAGAAAGTCTAGTTTCTTAATATGGGCATAATTATTCATATTTAGGTTGTTTAAAATAGTTTATAGATATGTCTGTTTTCTTCTTATAAAATTAGTACTTACCGCTTGGAGGTTAAACCAGGTATAATTTCTTGAAGCATCTTTGATTCCCTTCAATTGACTGATAGGCTTAAAATTATGGCTCCAAGAACAATTAAATAAGGAACTGTAAGGAGTGGAGGAGGTTTTGATTTAAACAGAAGGTGACATGGAGCAACACAATTTATTGTTGAGAAACTGGAATGTCCTTTTTATACAATGTAAAAAAAATAGTTCTGGTGGTAGAACAAGAGTATTTCATAATTACCTATTGTGCTAAGCCTTTTGCTTACCATCTTAAATAAAATTCAAAATAAAAAAGCTCTCAACAATATTTTTGACAAAATATCCCACACCATTCTTTTTTTTTTTTTTTTTTTGAGACGGAGTTTTGCTTTTGTTGCTCAGGCGGGAGTGTAATGGCATGATCTCGGCTCACAGCAGCCTCTGCCTCCCGATTCAAGCAATTCTCCTGTCTCAGCCTCCCAAGTAGCTGGAATTACAGTGCGTGCCACCATGCCTGGTTAATTTTTTTTTATTTTTAGTAGAGACGGGGTTTCATCATATTGATCAGGCTGGTCTCGAACTCCTGACCTCAGGTGATCTACCCACCTCGGCCTCCCAAAATGCTGGGATTACAGGTGTGAGCCACTGTACCCAGCCTTTAATATCCCACACCATTCTATTCTCATTCCTTGCAGGATGATACTAGGGTATTTAATATTTTTCTGATTTTTATTATTCTTCATTATTTTATTTTTATTTGTAATAGTAATACTGTAGTAGCTGTCTGAAAAATAATGGATTGCAATCTGTTAGGCATTTTTGAGAACAAGAATCAAAAATAGATATATTTCAAAAAGGCCACAGGTTGTGTGTGTGTGTGTGTGTGTGTGTCTGTGTGTATGTGTGTATGTGGTGAGAGAAGATTACATAAATAATATGCAACTCAGTACTACAGACTGAAATGTATCCCCCTGGAAAATTCATATGTTGAAGACTTAACCCCTAATGTGGTGGTATTTGGAGATGAAGCTCTTGAGAAGTAATTAAGGTTTAGATGAGGTCAGGAGAGCGAGGCTGTCATGATAGGATTAGTGCCCCTATAGGAAGGAAAAACAGCATCCTCTTTCTTTCTTTTTCTCTCTCTCTCTCTCGTCATGCAAGGACACAACAAGAAGGCAGACTTCTGCAAGTGAGGAAGAGAACCCTAACCTGTATCCCACCATGCTGACACTCTGATCTCAGACTTTCAGCTTCCAGAATGCTGGAAAATAAAATTATGTTGTATAAGTGACTCAATCTGTGGTATTTTATTAAGGCAGCCAAGTGGATTAAGACAATGAGCATATTTCTTTATTGCTCTTTGGGAGCATCTGGGGTAGGATGTAGCAAGATCTCAGAAGAGATAACTGTGATGAATCAGTAAAGGCTGAATTCAAGACCCAGGTGCTCCAAATATACAAAAAAAATGCATTCTTAATTATTGCATAAAAGCAGCGGAGCTATTGAAACAGAAAGCACCTTGGACATCACTGTAATAACCAGCATGCACAAATGTCCACTAACTGGAGTGGTCTTCTGCAATGAGTAAGAGCTTGGAACTTGGTGAAATCTGAGAAAATGGACCTAGACTCAATAGTCACTGTTAATGAATTTCTTATCGATTCACCAGAGTGTGAATTAAGGATCATACTTTCAAATTTTTAATATTTTTGGTACTCTTGAATTTCTGAACTAACATTCTTACCCTTCTAAATTAAATGAGATGGATTCAAATATATTTTTATCAAAAATATTATCCATTGAGGTTATAAGACCATTGACTATGGCAATAGTCAATATCATGCTTAACAATGAGGATATCTTTTGAGAAATGTATCGTTAGGCAATTTCTCCATTGTGTGAGCATTGTAGACTGCACTTACACAAACCTAGATTGTGTAGCCTACTACACACCTAGGCTATGTAGTAATCTTTTTCTCCCTGGCTGCAAACTTTTAAACTGTTACTGTACTGAATATTGGGAAAAATTGAAACAGTTTGGTAAATACTTTTGTATCTAAATACATCTGAACATAGAAAAGTTACAGTAAAAATATGGTATAAAAATTCAAAAACAATTAATTGCTATAGTTGGAATATTATCCCCCTTTAAAATTCATGTTGAAACTTAATCCCCAATTGGCAGTATTGAGGGTTAAGGCCTTTAAGAGGTGTTTGGATAATAAGAGTTCTGCCCTCCTGAATGGATGAATCCGTTCATGAATTAACAGATTAATGGGTTAATGAATTAATGTGTTATCGTGGGAGTGGAACTGTTGGATTTATAAAAAGAGAAAGAGAGACTTGTGCTAGCATGTTCAGCTTCCTTATTGTGTGAGGCTCTGCACCACCTCCAGAGTATGCAGAGATTCCCCACAAGCAAGAAGATCCTCACCAGATGCGACCTCTCCATCTTGGACTTCTCAGCATTTATAACTACAAGAAATAATTTTTTTTTACTTTATAAATCGACAAGGTTCATGTAATCTGTTCTAAGCAAAGGAAATGGACAAAAGCACTAATCATCAGGGAAATGCAATCAAAACCACAATGAGATACTGCCTCACTATGGTTAGAACGGTTTTTATCAAAAAGAAAACAAACAAATGCTGATAAGGATGTGGAGAAAGAGAAATTCTTATACACTGCTGGTGAGAACGTAAATAAGCAAAGCCATTATAAAAAACAATATGAAGTTTCTTCAAAAAATTAAAACTAGAACTATCATACCATATGATTCAGCAATCTCATTATTGAGTATATATGCAAAGGAGATGAAATAAGTGTGTTGAAGAGATATCTGCACTCCCATCATTATTGTAGTGCTATTCACAATAGCCAAGATACTGAATCAAATTAAGTGTTCATCTACAGATAATTGGTAAAGATAAATGTGTATATAAACAATGGAATGCTATTCAGCCTTAAAACAGAATGAAATCCTGTCATTTGACATAACATGAATGAACCCAGAAGACATAGTTAAGGGTAATAACCTAGGCACAGAAAAACAAATACTGCATGATCTCACTCATATGTGGAATCCGAAAGAGTTGATTTCATAGATGTAGAAAGTAGAATAGTGGTTACCGAGGCTAGAGAGAGTAGAAGAGAGGAAGACTGGGAGAGATGGCTCAAGCGGTTCAAAGTTACAATTAGAGAAGAAGGATAAATTCTGGTGTTCTGTTACACAGTACAGTGACTAACAAATAATAATGCAGTGTGTATTTCAAGATAGCAAGAAGAGAAAATGTTTAATTTTATCACCAAAAAGAAGAGATAAATGTTTAAAGTAATGAATATGATAATGTCTCTGATTTAGTAATTATACAATGTATACATGCATTGGAGCATTACAGTATACTTCATATATTTGTACAATTATTATTTGTTAATTATTAATAAAACATTTTTTTAAAGATAGAAAGATGCACCTGTATAGGGCAGCTCTATTATAATCTTATGAAACCTCATACATACGTATATGCACATATGTATACAAATGTAGATATACTATGGGCAAACTAAATCAGACATTATAAAAAAAGTAAAATAATTAAGCAATTAACCTTTTATAGTCATGATTCTTACACATATTCATTGTTTTTGTGTGATAATTTTATTAAATGTAATAATGGCTTCAAAAACACATAAATTTAGGTGAAAATTAGTTTAGAAGAGAGTATCAATTCAAAAAAATGTATGTTGAAATTTATCCATTAAAATAACAGTAAAATTACATTTTTCCATAAACCTTAAAGTCAGTAGAGAGAAGGTAAAATTTTTCATAGCTACTGACTAAGCTGAATTTAATAATTTTAATTTAGTAGAACATTTTCTTTCCTGAGAGATTTCTCCGTAGTGTTTTATATGCATACATAGACACATATATTCACTAATTGTATCTACTCATTTATATATATAGCTATATACTCATATTTTTATTTTTATGTAAAATTTCCAAAATGCTTAATATGGCAGTATAATAATTATAACTAGATTTACTTCAAAACATAGACATAAAGAAGATTACATGCCTGTAGAAGTTCATTGAATTAGGAATCACATGCTATTTATTTTAGCAGATATCTTCTTAATTAAATGTTTGACCCATGTGAAGTCATTTAACAGATCTGTTACGCATTATTCACATATGCAAAATAATCTATATGATCTGAATACCATTTCCATCTTTAAAATTACATATTCCTAAATTAGATGTGAAAACAGTCAAAATAGATGCCTCACAACTTTGTGCTAGCCATATAATGGATCACACATCTTATGCCAGGTGAGAGGTCTTCTGTCTTCAACTGATTTTATATTGAAATATAAATTCCTGAGTTTCCTCTTATAGTATTAATGTCTCCAAAGTTCTACAAAAGAAAACAATAAAACAAATATTCTTATGTATGCCAACAAATATAAAAATAGTGAATGTAATATCTCATAAAACATTTATAAACAATCAAACGATAGCACACCCAGTGCACACTTGGGAAAGGTGAATGCAATATAAACTTAAATAATACATTCCTATAAAAAGCTTTAAGGGCTTAAGTTACGATCTTTCACTCTCATCTACTGTGTATTTGGCCACACAACTCAATAATGTTGACAAATCTAATTTTCTAAAAGGCTTGAGGTTGTTTTTGATGCAACAATGATAGAAAGATTTGCTGGTGGGTGTCTGAGTCCAGTGAGTCTTGTATTACAGCAATGAGGCAGCAGACATAATAAAAGACATTCTGGCCAAACAATTTTCTTTTATATCTTTAACAGTGTTTTTAGTCAGGGTAAATATCATTCCAGGTCTTTTATTAATTTGCCAGCCTATATATTAAAATGTAGACCTCAATCTCAGCCAACCTTTGAAGTAATTGGAGGTAAGCAGAATTGCATGAGCTAGGTGATTGAATAATGGTATTAGAAAAGTGTTAGTTAGTTTTAAAAGGTATAATGGATACTATGAAGTAGAAATTTCATTTTAAATCTGAAATCATTAAAAGGTTGCCTAAGGCTATATATATATCATTAAAATCATTAAAAGTTTGCCTAAGGAGATACATAGTTTCACAGTTTGAAAGAAAGACTGGTACTAGTTAAATTGTCTTCACAAAAATCTATAAAAATAATACTTTAAAGTATAATAGTGGTAGAAAAGTTAATATAGGAACCTAGGATGTCAAAAATTAGTTGCAAGATTAGCTGTCCCTTCAGGAACTTTTTAGATCTAACAGGGAGCTTCCTTTCCATGATACTATGTATCCATATACTACTACTGAACATTATTCCAAAAACACTACCACCTGAGAAGGGGTTATATATTGTATTAGATAAACAAATAGCAAGCATATTCATTCAAATACAAATTAATCTTCATGGATTTTGAAGTAAACATGCAAAAAAGACAATGCAACTCTGACATAATTTATGTTCAAGATTCAATTTCAAAAAAAACCATAGTTTGTAATTTAAGAAAAGAGAAATTACTTGCAAATTATAAACTTTTAACAAAAACTTGTTATTCCATTTTGAAAAACACTGTATCTGAAAAAAAGTTTTTCATCACTCATCAAAACAGGAAAATATAGGAATATTTATCAAAATGAGAAATGCTCTCATTTTGATATGCTATATAGAACAGTGCAGTAGGTGAATCACAGGTAAAAAGAAAGAATAGGATTTGGTTTTCACAGATGAAGCATAATAATTCAGCAAAGATTTGTCAAGTATGTGCTACATGTATTCCAGGTATATAGAGGGGATAGAGATCTAGGAAAAGAACATTCTAGGCAGAAGGGACAACAAATGCAGAGGTTCTTACATTTTTCCTTCAGGTATAGCCATCTGATTTATGTATAATTATATTTGTACAAACATACCTTAAAAATAAATCAATGTGTAAGCATTTACATTGTGAGGTGTTCTTAAAAATGGGCCAATTTATTCTGGAATTCTAAAATATTATTCAGCAGTATCTAAGATTAAGAACTCAAAAAGGGTACTAACTCTCCCTAAATTCAAAGGCCCTAACTTAGCTATGAGTTATATATACATATATTAATATGACTTTCATGGAACCATTGTACAAATTATGGTTGAAAATTATGTCATTTTATTAAAGATCATGTTTCATGTGCTAAACAATTCACATATATTTTATATTATCTTGCATAATATCAAATATAGTAATTCAATTCAATTATCTATCTACTTTTCTGGACCCCCTAATTTTACCCATGTATACATATTTTAGACAGCTTTACATATATATATGTATATATATGTGTATATATGTGTGTATATATATGTATATATGTGTATATATGTGTGTATATATATGTATATATGTGTATATATGTGTGTATATATATGTATGTGTGTGTGTGTGTGTGTGTGTGTGTGTGTATATATATATATATATATATATATATATATATGAGTAAAATTAGAAGCTCCTTAAAAGCTCATTGCAAGAGAATTATCAGTATTTTATCTGTCTGGTGGTTTCCCGGAATATCTCACTTATGAAGCTATTTGTATTGGACTTAACTTAGAGCTCACCTGGTGTGAAAAGCCTTTTCCCCAGGGGTAGTTGTAAAAATAAAAAATAAAAAATATATATATATATATACGTAGATAGGCAATTGTTAAATTTCACAGCCTAAGAGTGTGAATAGGAGTTGAAATGAACAACTGATTGAAAACCTTTCAAGGAAAATCTGGATAATGAAATAGTGTTAGGGATTATCCACCTATTCCTGGAAGTCTAGAAGGAACACATGCATGCAGAGGACTTTGTGCATGCCCAAGACTGTGTACATACATCAAGATGATCCGGGAAGGCCCTAATCTCTCTGTTCTAGTTAATCTTGAGAATATGCATAAGGAGAAAGTGAAGTCCGAATCAGGATTGTCAGTTTCAGGCTGAGTATTGAAGGCATAACCCAACATGCATACAGAATTTATTTACAAAGATTAGAATACTTACTGGTTCCTGGCAGCTAAGGAACTCTTTGTCCAATCATTGAATGACTACTAAGTTAACTGAGCAGAGACTGCTCATGATAAAGAATACAGATTTTAGAGAATTGTATCAGAAAATTCACTAAACCAAAAACAATGACAAACAGCAATAACAACAGCCTTGGGAATATGCTCATATCAAGAATCGCAACTTTATATTATTTAAAGTGTACAATTTTCAACCAAAAATTATGAGATGTGCAGAAAGGGAGAGAGAGAAAGAAAGAGACAGAGTGGAGTTCTCCTAATTGCAATCATAGTTTACCATTTCATTGCTGTTAGTTCCATGTGTTAGTGACAGTTTAGTATCTATTTGAATACACAAGAAAATAATATCAATAATATGTAATAATGTCCAACGAACACATGTAAACTTCCATTTGACTTTAAGTCAAAAGTGAAGGGAACATTATACTATTCTGTGTTTACATAATTTAATAAAAACAAAATACATCAGGAAATGAGATCATAATAATTCATAACCATAAACTTTGAAACAACATCAAACATTATAAATATTTTATGTTCACTCAACCAAGCTTGAGGGCTATTCATGCCTTTCCGGTAAACCACTGCTATAGAGAATAAAAATATCAGCTCTTATATTGCCACTGTATCATGAGTAAACACGTTTATTTTCCTTAACTAGTTTCTGTTTTAGTCATTTAAGTATTTTTCTTATGTAATTCTTTTGTCTTTCTGCCATGTCATTCATATGACATAAGTTTTCTTTAACTTCTAGAGTGAAATTTCTAGGGACCCTGACATTTTACATAAGCTGTGAAAAACATCTTGAGAAGGAAAAAGGAATTAACATGTGAAATCAAACTTTTGTAGATTTCTGGCCTGGCGTGGTGGTTCACTCCTGTAATACCAGCACTTTGGGAGGCCAAGGTGGGCAGATCACGAGGTCAGGAGATCGAGACCATCCTGGCCAACAAGTCGAAACCCTGTCTCTACTAAAAATACAAAAAATTAGCCGGGCATGGAGGTGGACACCCATATAGTCCCAGCTACTTGGGAGGCTGAGGCAGGAGAATCACTTGAACCCAGGAGGTGGAGGCTGCAGTGAGCTGAGATCACACCACTGCACTCCAGCCTGGGTAACAAGAGCAAAACTCCGCCTCAAAAAAACAAACAAAACAAAATTTCAAAAGTGTATTCCTATCCCATAATACAATAAGTGATAATTTAAAACCAAACCCAATTCTGAATTTAATTAAGGATGATGCAACATGGTATAGCTTTAAATACATGTGTTTTGAGATAGTGGTGGATCCACTCTATAACCTACGATTTAAAGTGCATTGGGAAGTAAAGACACTAGTCCTAGCTTACTCATCTAAACCATGAGGATACTAATATCTTCCATAAAAAGTTGATCAGGCTTATTGACACATCTGTAAATCAACTTGTCTAACTCCTAGTTGGTGATAATTAGTTTAACAAGAATATTTATGTAGTGATATATAGCTAATGTGGCAAATCACATTAAATGCAATTAGTTTTTTAAGTATTTATACTCATATATACAGAAAGGTTAACTTAATGCTCATTCTATTTGAAGAATATTTGCAGTAATTTTGTGACAGATGTTTAATACAAACCTAATTAATAATTCAATACCAAATTAATTACTCCGTAGACTTTTGAAAATTTCATGAGTCACCACTCATGATTACTCATAGATATCATACATTAAATATCTCCCCAAAGAGGAAAACAATTTCTTTCCCTCAAAATCTAGAAAATGTGCATGTTCTTAATATTATAAACTAGGTGAATAATTTTGAGCGAGCATTCACTTTGTATCTGATACGCCCATGTTTCTTTAAAACCCTAAGTTGTTATTGATTATAGTCACTCTGTTCTGCCATCAAATACTAGGTCTTATAATTGGATTGTAAGAGGGTGTAAACCCTATTTTTCATGATGTGATAATTACCTATTTCACGCCTGTATCAAAACATCTCTTATACCCCATAAGTATTTAAACCTACTATACACTCACAAAAATTACTTTTTTTAAAAAAAGTAAAACTAAGTTTTTTCAAGTCTGATGCCCTGCAAAGCTGCCTGACTGACGTAACTTGGTTCTAAGTTGGCTTTCATATACAGTAGCTCTGTAATATTTTTTAGCAAAATGATATTTTAACCAATTTTATCTTCTCAGCATCTAATACTGTAGCATATGTTTAATAAAATATTGTTGAATAAAGTTAATTCATCCACTATGTATTCAAGTTATACTTAAATATTGGGGAATTTTGATTAATCTTATGAATTAATTCAGTACTCTATGACGAAATGACTGAACTGTAAACCAACAATTCCTCTTAGTACTGATAATACGTTTAATTTCTATAACTTGAGTAAAACTGTTTACTCCCAAATTTTAGTATGAAATGCTCATATCCCTAAAACCATCATTTTCAGTCTGTAGCTAACTTTTTTAAAAATGAAATGTACATTCATTTTTCTTTTGGATATAATACATATAACACATATGTTTTTACTGACATCCTGAGGATATCAGCACAAAAAATATGTTTCTATACTCCGGAAAAAATTTGATTAAAGAAATAGAATAGATCAATTCGGTTATACAAAGTCAATTGAGTTATATAAAAAGTATTCCAAACCTAATAGTCTTTTTGTCTAATGTATTTCTTCACAGCAAGCCTCATTTTCTCTAACCATAAAAACCCCCAGAATTACAATCCCATCTTTATAAATAAGAAAGAGATAATTTCCATTTTTTTACTGTCATATTAGGTGAACTTACTGTTTATTTGACTAAAACCTGAACCTTTACCTTTCCTGATTAGTGTTACATATTCCATACCTAGGTTTAACCATGTCCTTCCCATTAAAATTATGCTGTTTTACATCCAATTACCTATACTCCATTGATATATTGATCATATGTTTACCTTCTTAATGTCTAATGTAACATACATGAACTTCTGTGAATTTTCCTCTACATGCTTCTCTACCACCATCCTTATCCTGTGGTACAGAAATAGAACTCTTAAAACAGGCTCAAACTCCCATTATCCATTCCGATGTTCCTTGCTCATGTTCCTTTATCTCATCATGTTCCAATATGCCATAATTTCCCACTTTCAAGACTCAGCTGTAGAAAGTGTTTTTTGATCTTCACAGAAAAAATAGACTTTTTATTCCTTCGAACCCACAGGATACGATAGCACCATAGCCATTATAATATGTTTTACTACTTTATTTTCCTCTTCTAGATCAAGGAGATTTCGAAGATGGTACTGTGTCATGTAAATAATTGCCTTCCTAGCACCTGACATTAATAGACATTTGATAAATATTTATATTTTTATGAATAAACTAATTCAACTAAAAAGCAATTTGATATTCTAATTTATTCTAAAATATGTACTTATTTTCTTATTTATTGCTTATATTGTTACAGATAGCTTGTAAGGTATAATCCACGTGCCCCAATAGAGTGGAAGGTGCTGAAGATAAATAACAGGAAAGGTCACCAGTTCAGCTCTGAAGTGTTAATCATTTACACAAGCATGGAAAAATAGAAAGTATTTATTGTTATTATAATAACTATGCAATCTGCATTCCAAAAATCTTCTCAGTACATTAACTCTAAGGTTAAAAGAATAAATCAATACTGGGAGAATTGATATCACAGTGAGATTGTGAAACTATATTTTTAAGAGAAGTTCTTTTGACCCACTAATGTTGTTAGTTAAAAGGTCTTTTTTCTCCTCTGATCACTTCATACCGATTCTCAATTTTCAGATGTCAATGTATGCATTTTTCAGTCTTCTTGGGAAGTAACAAACGGAAGTAACTTGGTTCTACATAAGAAAACAGTTGCAGAGATTCAACTGACGACCACTGCCTTCACCACAAAAGTGAAGAAATATTCACATTCTGAGTCTACTGCATAATTCTGAGTAGCACTGAGAGGCAAATAGTGCTATAACAAGGGGTTAATATGTTCAGTCTGTCTTCAAATTGTCCCTTTTGACGAATCACCAGTTTTCTACTTTTTCAACTGAAATAAACTAATTTCTAGAAATCTTGACATTTCACATATGTAGATAGGTGCTGACATTTCAGTTTCAGGATGCTCAATACAGCTACCTTGAAGGCCACAGAAGATATCGAAATAAGATGCTGAAATAAATACTTAAATTTGACAGACAGTTGCCCTCTGGACCTGTGAATATTATTTCAGGTCTGTGTGGTGCTTGCACATCGCTAGACAAATATTTACATAAACTCTATTGGGTCCATTTTATTATTTATGTCTTTTCATTTTCTTTTTTACTCATAACCCAAAGAACATCATACATTTTACAAATCTTTTTGTATAGCATTTTAGATATTAGATGAAATATCCTTTTCCCACTAGTCTTGTGACTATCTGCCCTCTTATTAAATTGTTGGCTCACTCTTTCCTGAAAAAATAAAAGTTGTTTCAAACAACTGCAGCAACTTTTTATGTTCTGAAATGTTTTAGTCCCTGGGGGCAGAGCAATATCCAGAAGTGTAAGAGAAACTTTTACAAACTATGGACCAAGAAAGCTCTGCAGGGTACGTGGACAGAGGAACAAAGTGACTCCTCTCTATTCTTCACTCCCCAGTATATGTGCCCTATATAGTCACAGAGGGACCTATTAGTAAAAAGACACATTGTCTCTGCTTGAAGTACATACTGGTGACCAATAACTGGGATACCAAAAACTTGTGAAGTTATTTATCTATTTTAGACAAATTCTCTGTTTCTATTATAGCTAGTGTTCCAGTTTTCAGGACAATTCTATAATATTATTTCTCAGTTAGTCATTTGTGACATTATTCTCTACAGAGGTATGCAGACTGTTCATCACACCTGAAGATACCTCTCACATGTGGCATTTGTGTGTGGGGTGTACCCCAAGGTACAATTTAAGATCATATTCCCATGTGCCTCAGCAACAGAATCATAGGATTCAAACTCTAGATCAATTTCCTACAATTTCTGTAGGATATACAGCTACATATGAGACAATACCATCCAAATCAATCAATCAGAACAAAAAGACATGGCTGCTGAAGACTAATCTTCTATTTTGAAAGATATTCAGGGATTCTATAATAATTGTTTACTATACTGATTAATTTTTAACCCTTCTCAATTTTCTCCAAACAAATCTTAAATCAACAATGTCAAGTTGTAGTACTAAATCAACCTAAGACAGTATAATGCTGATCTCACACAGATATAAATATGTGAAATTGAATGCAAATAATCTTTGTTTTCATTTGTTTTAATCTACCATTTTATGCACAAAGATATATATAAAAGAGTTACTGTGAGCTAGTCATTGTACAAGTTACTAGTAATACTTTAGTTAACAAAGCAAGAAGTTATGCAGATTAAATTATAAGTGGGGAGACATAAAACAGATAAACAGAAACAATAAATATACAAATAACATAGTAGCAAGAAGATAAATTTGGGAGTATAAAATCAAGCTTAATAAGGGGAATAGGCATTCTTGGTTGGATATAGAAAGATAATATAACGTTCCGTTCAAGACTGTAAAGAAATAAAGGGATCTGACTCTTCCCTGAGTCTGATTTCTTAGGGAAAATCATTCCAAGCGGAGAGGACAGCTAGTGCAATGGCCCTGGGGTAGAAGAAACAAGACTAATGCTTTCATGGAAGAGTTGCTGGAGTAGAGGAAAAAGTTGCAGGCCCAATCACGTGGATCCTTGAAGACCACTGCAAGGACTTTGCCTTTACTCTAAGTAACAGAGGGATCATTGGCAGGGTTTGGAACAGAGACATTATATTATTTGTCTTAGTTTTAAAGTAGATTTTTATGTCCCTATGGTGAAATATGGGGTAAAGGCATAACAGTTTTCTGGCATTGGTAGTAACGCAGGTACTAAATGGTGTTTATTTCAATAATGAGGGCAGCTGTAGAAATTGGAAAAAAAAGTACAATTCTAGATATATTGATAGAGCCAACTTCCTACATGTATTACATTTTAAAACTTAATATATCAAGAAATACATTGGTGCTAAAGGTATTTTTTAAAAATACAATACCTTGCTAGAGTTTGGAATTTAAATTGTACAGAAAGATAGTGGTGCTATACTCTCTCATATTCCCTCTGTTGGAAACTACATTTGCAAAATCTTTAGTGTCTTATTTTCTCACCATTTAGACCTCTACTGTGATATTACCTCTTCAGTACAACTTTCCTAATGACTCTATTTTGAGTAGCACTTTCTATCATTCCTTTATTCATTTTAATTTGCTTTTTCCCCTTTCTGCATTACTATTTAACATTATATTTTTATTTCCTTATTTTAATTTTTATTTATCCATTAGTATAGTGCAATATTTATGACAACAGGGTATTTTTTTATTTTTATTTTTGCTTTTGCTATCAGATCACCAGTGTTTAAAATAGGATCTGTCATATACAAATATATTTCAAAACTTCTGAATCAAACGATTTTTTTCTTGATATCTTATTTCACATATGCATTTTTACTATTACACAAAAAAACTACACTTTGTTTTTAAGTAGTACTAACACTATAAATAAAATAATCACATAAAATAAACTGCTATATTCATGCTTTATGAATATTGTCTGAGTTTTGAATTTGCTGCTTTATTCAAAGGCACTCTGCAGCAGCTAGCTAAACAATAAAAGTAGAAAAAAGTGACTTGCCTCCAGCAAACTCCAGTAGACCTGCAGAAGAGGGGCCTGACTGTTAGAAGGAAAACTAACAAACAGAAAGCAATAACATCAACATCCACAAAAAGGACGCCCACGCAAAGACCCCACCCAAAGGTCATCGGCATCAAAGATCAAAGGTAGGTAAATCCACAAAGATGAGAAAAACCAGCACAAAAATGCTGAAAATTCCAAAAAAAACCAGAATGCCTCTTTTCCTCCAAAGGATCACAACTCTTCACCAGCAAGGGAACAAAGCTGGAAGGAGAATGAGTTTGACGAATTGACAAAAGTAGGCTTCAGAAGGTCGTAATAGCAAACTCCTCTGAACTAAAGGAGCATGTTCTAACCCAGTGCAAGGAAGCTAAGAGTCTTGATAAAAGGTTATAGGAACTGCTAACTAGTATAACCCATTTAGAGAAGAACATAAATGACCTGATGGAGCTGAAAAACACAGCAGGAGAACTTCGTGAAGCATACACAAGTATCAATAGCCGAATGGATCAAGAGGAAGAAAGGAGATCAGAGATTGAAGATCATCTTAATGAAATATAGTGTGAAGACAATATTAGAGCAAAAAAGAATGAAAAGGAATGAAAAAAGCCTCCAAGAAATATGGGACTATGTGAAAAGACCAAACCTATGGTTGATTGGGGTACCTGAAAGTGACGGGGAGAATGGAATCAAGTTGGAGAACACAATTCAGGATATTATCCAGGAGAACTTCTCCAACCTAGCAAGACAGCCAACATTCAATTCAGGAAATACAGTGAACACCACTAAGATACTCCTCAAGAAGAGCAACCCCAAGACACATAATCGTCAGATTCACCAAGGTTGAAATGAAGGAAAAAAATGTTAAAGGCAGCCAGAGAGAAAGGTCAGGTTACTTATAAAGGGAAGTCCATCAGACTAACAGTGGATCTCTCTGTGGAAACCTTACAAGCCAGAAGAGAGTGGGGGCCAATATTCAACATTCTTAAAGAAAAGAATTGTCAACCCAGAATTTTATATCCAGACAAACTAAGCTTCACAAGTGAAGGACAAGTAAAATCCCTTACAGGCAAGCAAATGCTGAGGGATTTTTATAGCCACCAGGCCTGACTTACAAGAACTCCTGAAGGAAGCACTAAATATTGAAAGGAAAAACCAGTATGAGCCACTGCAGAAACATACCCAAATATAAAGAGCAACCACACTGTGAAGAAACTGCATCAACTAATGGGCAGAATAAACAGTTAGCATCATGATGACAGGATAAAATTCACACATAACAATATTAACCTTAAACATAAATGAACTAAATGTTCCAATTAAAAGACACAGACTGGCAAATTAGATAAAGAGTCAAGACTCATCAGTGTGTTGTGTTAGGGAGAACAATTTCACACGCAAAGACATGCATAAGCTCAAAATAAAGGGATGGAGAAATATTTACCAAGCAAATGGAAAGCAAAAAAAAGCAGGGGTTGCAATCCTAGCCTCCAATAAAACAGACTTTAAACCAACAAAGATCAAAACAGACAAATAGGTGCAGCACACCAACATGGCACGTGTATACATATGTAACAAACCTGCACGTTGTGCACATGTACCCTAAAACTTCAAGTATAATAAAAAAAAACAGACAAGGGCATTACATAATGGTAAAGGGGTCAATGCAACAAAAAGAGCTAACTATCCTAAATATACATGCATCCAATACAGGAGCACCCAGATTCATAAAGCAAGTTCTTAGAGACCTACAAAGAGACTTAGAGTCCCACACGAAAATAGTGGGAAACTTTAACACCCCACTGTCAATATTAGACAGCTCAACAAGACAGAAAATTAATAAGGATATTCAGGACTTGAACTCAGCTTTGGACCAAGGGGACCTAATAGACATCTACAGAACTCTCCACTCCATCAACAGAATATACATCCTTCTCAGCACCACATTGCACTTATTCTAAAATTGACCACATAATTGAAAGTAAAGCACTCCTCAGCAAATGCAAAAGAATGGAAATCATAACAAATAATCTCCCAGACCACAGTGCAATCAAATTAGAACTCAGGGTTAAGAAACTCGCTAAAAACTGCACAACTACATGGAAACTGAACAACTGCTCCTGAATGACTACTGGGTACATAGAGAAATTAAGGCAAAAATAAATAAGTTATTTGAAACCAATGAGAACAAAGACACAACGTACCAGAATCTCTGGGACACAGCCAAAGCAATGTTTAGAGGGAAATTTATAGCACTAAATGCTCACAGGAGAAAGTGAAAAAGATCTAAAATCGGCACCCTATCTTCACAGTTAAAAGAACTAGAGAACCAAGAGCAAGCAAATTCAAAAGCTAGCAGAAGACAAGAAATAACTAAGATCAGAGCAGAACTGAAGGAGACAGAGACACAAAAAACCTTTCAAAAAATCAATGAATCCAGGAGGTGGTTTTTTGAAAAGATTAACAAAATACATAGACCACTTGCCAGGCTAATAAAGAAGAAAAGAGAGAAGAAACAAATAGACACAGTAGAAAATGATAAAGGGGATATCACCACTGATCCCACAGAAATACAAACTACCATCACAGAATACTATAAACAGCTGTGTGCAAATAAACTAGAAAATCTAGAGGAAATGGATAAATTCCCAGACACATACACACTCCCAAGACTAAACCAGGAAGAAGTTAAATCCCTGAACAGACCAATAACGAGTTCTGAAATTGAGGCAGTAGTTAAGAGCCTACCAACCAAAAAAGCTCAGGACCAGACGGATTCAAAGCCGAATTCTACCAGAGATACAAAAAGTAGCTGGTACCATTCCTTCTGAAACTATTCCAAACAACAGAAAAAGAAGGACTCCTCCCTAACTCATTTTGTGAGACCAGTGTCATCCTGATACCAAAACCTGGCAGAGACACAATAATAAAAAAAATTTCAGGCCAATATCCATGATGAACATCAATGCGAAAATCCTCAATAAAATACTGGCAAACTGAATCCAGCAGCACATCAAAAAGCTTATCCACCACAATCAAGTCAGCTTCATCCCTGTGATGCCAGGCTGGATAAACATACAAAAATCAATAAATATAATCCATCACATAAACAGAACCAATGACAAAAAACACATGATTATCTCAATAGATGCAGAAAAGGCCTTGGATAAAATTTGACACCCTTTCATGCTAAAAACTCTCAATAAACTTGGTACTGATGTAACATACCTGAAAATAATAAGAGCTATTTATGACAAACCCACAGCCAATATCCTACTGAATGGGCAAAAGCTGGAAGCATTCCCTTTGAAAACCAGAACAAAACAAGGATGCCCTCTCTCACCACTTTTATTCAACATAATATTGGAAGTTCTGTCCAGGGCAATCAGGCAAGAGAAAGAAATAAAGGGCATTCAAATAGGAACAGAGGAAGTCAGATAGTTTCTGTTTGCAGATGACATGATTGTATATCTACAAAACCACATTGTCTCAGCCCCAAAACTCCTTAAGCTGATAAGCAACTTCAGCAAAGTCTCAGGATACAAAATCAATATGCAAAAATCACAAGCATTCCATACACCAATAATAGACAGAGAGCCAAATCATGAGTGAACTCCCATTCACAATTGCTATAAAGAGAATAAAGAGAATTCCTATACCTAGGAATACAACTTAACAAGGGATGTGAAGGACCTCTTCAGGGAGAACTACAAGGAAATAAGAGAGGACACAAACAAATGGAAAAACATTCCATGCTCATAGGTAAGAGGAATCAATATCGTGAAAATGGCCATACTGCCCAAAGTAATTTATAGATTCATTGTTATTCCTATTAAGTTTCCATTGACTTTCCTCACAGAATTAGAAAAAACTACTTTAAATTTCACATGGAACCAAAAAAGAGTCTATATAGCCAAGACAATCCTAAGCAAAAAGAGCAAAGCTGGAGACATCGCACTACCTGACTTCAAACTATACTACAGGGCTACAGTAACCAAAACAGCATGATAATGTTACCAATACAGATATATGGACCAATGGAACAAAACAGAGACCTCAGAAATAATGCCACACATCTACAACCATCTGATCTTTGACAAACCTGACAAAAACAAGCAATGGGGAAAGGGTTCCCTATTTAATAAGCGGTGTTGGGAAAACTGGCTAGCCATATGCAGAAAACTGAAACTGAACCCCTTCCTTACACCTTATACAAAAATTAACTCAAGATGGATTAAAGACTTAAACGTAAGACCTAAAACCATAAAAAAACCTTAGAAGAAAACCTAGGCAATACCATTCAGGACATAGGCATGGGCAAAGACTTCATGACTAAAATACCAAAAGCATTGGTAACAAAAGCCAAATTGACATATGGGATCTAATTAAGCCAACGAGATTTTGCACAACAAAAGAACTATCATCACAGTGAAGAGGCAACCTATAGAGGGAGAAAATTTTTGCAATCTGTCCATTTGACAAAGGTCTGATATCCAGAATCTATAAGGAATTTAACAAATTTACAAGAAAAAAGCAAACAAAGCCATCAAAAAGTAGGTGAAGGATATGAACAGACACTTCTTAAAAGAAGGCATTTATGTGGCCAACAAACATGAAAAAAGCTCATCATTAGAGAAATGCAAATTAAAACCTCAATGAGATACCATCTCATGCCAGTTAGAATGACTATCATTAAAAAGTCAGGAAACAACAGATGCTAGGGAGGATGTGGAGAAATAGGAATGCTTTTACACTGTTGGTGGGAGTATAAATTAGTTCAATCATTGTGGAAGACAGTGTGGCAATTCCTGAAGGATCTAGAACCAGAAATATCCTTCGACCCAGCAATCCCTTTACTGGGTATTTACCCAAAGGGCTATAAATCATTCCAGTGTAAAGACAGATGCACATATATGTAAACTGCAGCACTGTTTACAATAGCAAAGACTTGGAACCAACCCAAATGCCCATCAATGATAGACTGGATAAAGAAAACGTGTCACATATATACCATGGAATTCTATGCAGCCATAAAAAAAGAGTGAATTCATATCCTTTGCAGGGACATGGATGAAGCTGGAAACCATCGCTCTCAGCAAACTAACACAGGAACAGAAAACCAAACACTGCATGTTCTAACTCATAAGTGGGAGTTGAACATTGAGAACACATGGACACAAGGAGGGGAACATCACACACCAGAACGTGCCGTGGGGTGAGAGGCAAGGGGAGGGATAGGATTAGGAGAAATACCTAATGCATGCGGGGCTTAAAACCTAGATGATGGTTTGTTGGGTGCAGCAAACCACCATGGCATATGCCTATGCAACAACCCTGCACGTTCTGCACAAGTATCCCAGAATTTAAAGTATAATAATAATAAAAAAAGAAAAAAGTGACCTGAATATCTTTCTTAAAAAGTTAACTTTATCAGTAATCATGAGACGTTAGTAGTGATTTTTAAAAAACTTCTGTGAACACCATGCTATGGCATGGATTATTCTTGTGCTATCTAAAGTGATGTACAGCACTTTCTAGTGAAATCATTTTATTAACACACAAATAATATAATTTATCAGTTCAAACTTTACAGTGACAAGTATCTACTATTAGGTTGGTGCAATAGTAATCACGATTTTTGCTATTACTTTTAATTTTGAAAAATATTTTAAAAGGCCTGAGAGAAAAGACACTTAACAACAAAATATGCTGTAAGCCTTGATGTGACACAAAAGTCATAAAAGATTTTTAAATATTTTTATTGAAGTAGAGTTTACATAGTATGAAATGCAAAAGCTTCCCTTTTGCAGTATGTTTAGTTTTGGTGAATGCATACACCTGTGTTATTTACACCACTATTCTATCACTATAGAGTCAAATATTAGTCATTTCCTGAATTTTTTTGCCAAAGTCAGATTATAGATATGTCATAAACAAATCCTCTGTAAAATGTGTTAACTATTGATTCCTCTGGGAATCAATAGTTTGTCAGAGAGCAGGGGTCTCCAACCCCCAGGGTGTGGACAGATACCTATGCATCCATGGCCTGTTAGGAGCCAGGCCATGCAGCAGGATGTGAGCTGCAGGTGAGCCAACATCATCACTTGAGCTCCCCCTCTTGTCAGATCAACTGCTGCATTAGATTCCCATAGGAGTGCAAACCCTATTGTGAACTGCACATGTGAGGAATTTAGGTCGTGTACTCCTTATGAGAATTTAAAGCCTGATTATCTGAACTGAAAGAGTTTCATCCTAAAATCATCCCCTTCTCCCTGCATCTGCGGAAAAAATTTTCTTCCACAAGACCAGTCACTGGTGCCAAAAAAATTAGGGACCGAGGTAGAGTCTTGGTGCACATTGTTGAACATCTATTGGTCGTTCGTGTGGAAGCCTGCGAATATTCAATGGATAATAGCTTCTAGTATGAAGAGTGAATGACATATAATATTAGAAAGCTAGAGTTCTGTTGAAAGATTTCATTTGCACATAGAAAATTAGAGTACTGAAATTTTCTTTTAATGCTAATAATTTCCCCAATATTCAGTTCTACATTAGCATGTCTTCTACCTCACTTTCTTCACTCAAACATTTGTGTATAGGTCAGATTAAACTGTTGTGGACTGTAGAGATATGAAACTGCAATATAAATTATAGACTTAATTTAAATTGATGAAGCTCTCTGGAAGGATGCGAGTCCTCATCCTTTATTTGATAGAGGCCTCCTATATCTCCCAGGGCACTTTTGAAATAACAGCATGGAATCACACATTTACATAAATAAAGCTAGCCAAGAGAAAAAATAGCAAAACAAGGAAAATATGAGAAAATGCTTGACAAATACATGAAAACTTGGGAATTTTGCTGGGCTAGTTTTGTTGTTGTTATTTTTATACTTTGCTTTATTGCATCTATGAATATAATACATTTTGCTATTAGCAATTTCAAATTAAGTATTTCAAAAGAAAATTAGAAAACTGAATAAAATAACCTCCTCATGTATTGAAGGAAATGTGAGAAAATAATTAGATTTTACATTAAAAATAGACAACTTCAAACAAAATAAAATATTTCCAGATGTTTACACTATGGAATATTAAAAAAAATCAGAAGGAACTTAGAGAAAGAATTTCATGGCCAAAACAGTAAGAGAACGAAAATATAAAAATTAAAGTAATACATAGAAAGCTGAAAAAATAAATTTAAGGCCTATATGCTCTTCAAGGTCTCATTTTCAGCTTTCTGCAAGATATCTCTGCTTGAATATCCAGCTGACACTTAAAACTTAACATGTCTATAACCAAGTTCATTATTCGCTATAACTTCTCTGTATTTCCATCATTGTCAATATTGCCATTATACTCTTAGCTCAGCAGGCTATTAAATATGCAGTCGTCTTTGATTTCTTCTTGTCCTTAGTCAGCCATATCCCATCTATCAAACATGTTCTTCCAAAGCATTTTTCAAATGTGGTACCTACTTTTAGTTATTACAATCAGAACAATTTCACATGTCACAGTCACTTTTCTAGAATAACCACTATAAAATGCCTCTGCTGTCAAATTACATCTTCTTTTATTTGTCCAAATAATAAAGCAAAAGTCATTTTAATTCAATATATCTGGAGTCCAAACGCAGCCCCAATTTATGCCTTAAAAAATTAAAACCATATTTAATCAAAATCAAATAAAAACATATAAAAATTCCCCAGGTCTTACTTCTCTTCTCTTTCTTTTTTTCCTGCATAATTCTATGCACACCTAACTATTCAGCTGACTACATGAGTGTAATGACATCAATATCTATTTCTCCTTTTCATATCCTGAATTATCTGAATTCTACCACCACAGGTAAAAGCTAACATTTGACCTTAGTTTGCAATAACACATTTCTAAATTCTTTACACTTAATACTCAATTTTATGAGTTAGCTATTAAAATTAGTATCTCTAATAAGAAAATTTGAAACTAAGGCATATATTGACTAAACTAATGAATGATGGAGGCTGGACATGGATTCAGGCAGGCTGTTTCAAAAACCCACTTGCTTTTAATAACTGTGGTCTTCTGCCTCTCCTTTATTCAAATTAACAAAGGTCTAGCTTCCTACTGATCATCTCCATCTGATTGTTCCATACTATCTTCCAAATTATTTGTCCTGAACAAATCTACTATTTTCACAGGCACCTTGTTCCAAACTCTCTCTCTCTCCTGTAAGAAACATGACACAGGAACCAAATGCTTCTGGCTCATCCTAAAGCTAAAACTAAAACTGAACAGCTAGAACTAAAACCGAAGAGCTCCATGAGTTGGGTAAGTTAATCAACATCTCTAAGCCTCTAATTCCTCAGTACTGCTTTTCATTAGGAAAGTCACTGGAATAAATGTCGTCCAAAAGGTTATATAACAAACTAAAACTAACGAATAAACAAAGCAAAAAACAAAAACACTCTTAGCTTTATTGTTCTCAATGTATTTTTTCTACTCTTTTCTATCCCTATCTTCCTCTCTTCCTGCCTTTCTCTATATCTGTTCCTTTCTTCCTTCCTTTCTTCTTTTCTTCCTTCCTTCCTTTTTTCCTTTCTCCCTCTCTCCCTCCTTCTGTTCCTTACTTCCTTCATTTTTTCTTTCTTACTTTTTATTCTGTTTTAATACGCAGGTCTATGAGTAGATTTATAATTCAAGTCTTAGCTAAACTGCCACTTCTGCAAAAGTGTCATCTCCAAACTTCCAGTTTAGAATTAAAAAAAAAGTTTCTCAACCTTAACATTATTGACATGTAAAAAATAATAGCTTTATCAATATGTAAACTATATACTACAAAATTCCCCATTTAAATGTATCCAACAAGAGGATTATTTTTAGTGTTTTCACTCATCTGACTTGAGATAATTTACATCACCACAAAAGAAATACCATACCCATTAGCCGTTACTCCCATCCCGCTCTCCCCATAATCCTTAGTAAATACTAATATAGTTTCTTTTGCTATAGAATTGTCTATTCTGAATATTTTATATAAATGAAATTACAAAATTTGTGGTCCTTTCGTCTTGCTTTTCTACATCCATTCATTTTATAATGTGTATCAGTATTCAATTACACTTTATGATCAAATGACATTCTATTTGTGAATATATCACAATTTGTTCATCAATTTGTGATAGATATCTGTGTTATTTCCACTTTTTTTGTATTGTGAATAATGTTGTTATGGACTCTTATGTACAAGGTTTAATATATAAACTCATTTATCTCCGGTGTATGAGTAAAAGTGTAATTTTTGGGTCAGTCATATAGTAATTCTAGTTTTAAAATTTTTTCCCATGAATGATGTATGAGGGTTTCAATCTCTCCACATTCTTATCAACGGTGGTTATTGTCTATCTTTTTAATTTTGCCAAACAAATGTATATTAGGCTGTTCTCACATTGCTATAAAGAAATAATGGAGACTGGGTAAGTTATAAAGAAACGGGTTTTAATTGGCTCACGGTTCTGCAGGCTTTACAAGAAGCATAGTGGCTTCTGCTTCTGGGGAAGCCTCAGGAAGCTTACAATCATGGCGGAAGGCAAAGGGTGAGCCAGCACTTCACATGGCTGGAGCAGGAGGAAGAGAGAGAGAGCGTGGAGATGCTACACACCTTTAAATAACCAGATCTCATGAGAAATTTATCATTATAAAGTATCAAGAATGGTGTTAAACCATTGATGAGAACCCCACCCCCATGATCAAATTTTCTCCCAGCAGGACCCATATTCAACACTGGGGACTACAAATGAACATTAAATTGGGGTGGCGACACAGATGGAAACCATATCATTCTGTCCCTGGCCCTCCCCATATCTCATGGACTTCTCACATTGCAAAATACAGTCATGCCTTCCCAGCAGTCCTCCAAAGCCTTATCTCATTCCAGCATTAACTCAAAAAGTCCAGAATCCAAAGTCTCATCTGAGAAAAGGCAAGCCCCTTTCAACTCTGAGTCTGTAAAATAAAAAGAAAACAAAAGACAAGTTAGTTACTTCCAAGATACAATGAGAGTATAGGCATTGGGTAAATACTCCCATTCCAAAAGTGAGAAAAGAGACTGCCTAGAAAGAAAGGGGCTACATAGGCCTCATGCAAGTCTGAAACCCAGGAGGGCAGTTATTAAATCTTAAAGCTCCCAAATAATCACTTTTGAATTCATGTTTCACTTCCAGGACACACTAGTGTGAGGAGTGGGCTCCCAAGGCCTTGAGCATAATGGATAAGAAATCTTATCATATTGCGGTTTTTATGTGCATTTTCCTAATAACTAACGATGTTGAGCAGGTTGTCATGTGCTTATTGGCCATTTTTATGTCTTTTTTGGAGAAATGTCTATTCAAATCATTTGCCTATTTTAAAAAAATGTCTTTTTATTGTTGAGTTTGAAGTGGCCTTTTAAAATTCTGGATACATATTCTTTATTAGGCACTAAATTTGAAAATACTTTCTTTAATTCTGTGTGCTACCTTTCCTCTTTCTTTATAGTTTAAATCTGGTCCTTCAGAGGACAAGATTTTCAACTTAATTAAGTATGATTTGTCTATTTTTTCTTTTTCTTTTTCTTTTTTTTTTTTTTGAGACGGAGTCTCGCTCCTTTGCCCAAGCTGGAGTGCAGTGACGTTATCTCTGCTCACTGCAAGCTCCGCCTCCCTGGTTCACACCATTCTCCTGCCTCAGCCTCCCGAGTAGCGGGGACTACAGGCGCCCGCTACCATGCCTGGCTAATTTTTTTGCATTTTTTTTGGTAGAGACGGAGTTTCACCTTGTT